>NC_000010.11:5161515-5313030 GCF_000001405.40 Homo sapiens
CTCAACATTCTTGAAGATCCTAATGGCTCAGGGCTTCCATTCAGGAACACAAGCACTGAGAAATACAGTGCAATGCCCTCAACTGTCTAGGGTAGAGGAAGTGAGATCATTGAATCTGAATCCCCCTTAAGGCTGGGGGACAAGGATAGACAGAAAATCTTGATGGTAGAGTCACTCAATTGTGAAAGATACTCACGAAAGTTTTGGCAATCCTATGCACCTCACTCAAATCTGCCTCTCTCAGGAAGAACCCTGGAAACCAAGCTAGAATTAGATAATTCAGATGCTTATAACCATGATGAAACAGTCTTGGGCATAACAAGGAAAAACAAAAGCTGACCTTCATAGCAAATGGTACATGAATAATGAAGAGATCTACATAGTCCGGTCCAAGTTTCTTCAGTGACCTTTCTAGGGCCGGGTGAACCAATTCTGCCCGAAAGAAAGTAGCCCAAAGCTGCAGTGACCAAAAGAAACAAAAATGGATTATAATTTCACACATTTGAGGACAAAAATTAAACTTCATGGTCAGACATTGAGATATGAGTCTTAAAACACTGTGGTCCAAAGCTAAAAGAGCTGGGACTAAACATATGTTACTCAGTATAAATCAAGTCCTTGCTGGGATACTGAGATTTCCTTGAATGACTGCAATGTAAGAAAACTGTGAAGAAAACTGTGAGTAAAACTAATAAGGGGCAGGAAAATCAACTTCAACGTATCAAGGATTAGAGGATTCATCCACCAAAATGAGTCAAGAAATGGCAGGACAGGGAGAACAGAATCTCTTGTCCTGTATAATAAATTCCTAGAAAGAATTATTCTGAGAGACCTACATTCTAAAAATAAATTATCGATGTAAACACACACAGGGTGCATCCCTGGAGACCTCAGCTCTGTTTACATATGAAGCATGGATTTCCATCTAGGACAATTTTAGAGAGTTCAGAAAACTCAATGCTGATTTGAGAAAAAGTGTTTTCTTGTCTGGATCACTTTTCTGATTAATATGTGACCTTACTTGCTACATCCTAAGAGCTCTTACTGAAGAACTGAAGGAGTGGACCCATAGTGGCTTGGTTAATCCATACAACAGTTAAAGGAGATAAGTATTATTTCCATTTTATACATGAATACTGTCTGATGCTCAGAGACACTGAAGAATTGTGTTCTACCAGTAAAATATTTCAGAGTAAGAAAGTCTTTTCTGTTTCTATAATATGCCTTCATAATATTAGGAGGTAAATAAAGAATTCAACTTAGACCATGTTTTCATTTCAAAATAATATATCTGAACTTATAGTGGCCTCTGGCTACTGTACACACAGAACTTTCACCTTGATGGTGTAGAATATTTCCTCTCTCTTGACGGTACCATCAGCGATCTTCTCCCAAATGGCCTGTCCAACCTCCTCCTCATTTTGGTATAAGTATGCTGAATCAATATGGCGGAAGCCTACGTCAATAGCCACTTTGGTGGCCTCGGCAGCCTGGCTTTTGGGAGTCTATAAGACAGGAGTAAAGAGTTGTTGATCTGCCCAACTCAAAGAAAATCAATGCATTTCCCCCAATAGCATTTTCACTGTCGGTTTCTGCTGGCCGCCTCCTCCAATTTTGATGACACGGGTTTCAGTGACAGACCTGTACTCTGAGGACATTGATTAAACTCCAGTATAACTTCTATTCCCAAATGAATTAGAGAAATTGGCTTCACCCTGGAGCATGGAAAAATCATGTCTCATTCCATATCAATCAACTGTAGAAATTGAATATAACATATTAGACACACCTTATACTTACTGGATAAAATGGATAATTATGCCACTGAAAGCAACTGGCCCTGTCTGACAGCTGTTGTAAATTGACTTCTCATGTTATAGTTCTACCAAGATTAAGCACATTGTTCTATCATTTTTAGAGCAATTCTTGCAAAGCAACCCCAAAGCTCACCCTACCTCCCTGTGACCAGTGTGACACTTTAAATTCCCTTCAGTAAACTGAGTGGATGGCAAATAGTGTATTTCATGAGAAGCACAATCTAGTCCCCATTATGACACTATGCCTCCTAAGTCTTCCCTTCTCACTTCCTAATGTGTAGAATTAAGATAAAAAAGTTAGTAAGTTAGGGTGGGTTCTTGGTAAAACTCCTTTAAACAGAGAAATGGCCTGAAAAATCAGGCTGCAGACACAGATAAGGAAACTTCCACAAATCTCTGGCCCATTCGGATAAAAGACAAAGGCCCAACATAAAAACACATTTGTCCTTTATGCCTAAGACATACCAACAACTACACTAATAAGAGAACAAGACTCACCACAGATATGCCTTTGTCCCAACATAAAAACGCCTTTGTCCTTTAAGCCTAAGACATACCCATAACTACACTAATAAGAGAACAAGACCCAACATAGAAATGCCCCTGTCCTTTGTGTAACCAACAGGCTTCTAGAAAGTAGTCTCTTCTCCTTTTGTGGACGTGTACACTGTGGGCTACAGTGGCTTCCAGTGGACACTTTTCTTTTTTGGACATGCTTTTGACTGTGAGCTGAGCCTCTAAGAATCATCACTACAGCCTTTGATTGCTCCTGGGCCAAGGTCCTTGGTCAAGCTTTTACTCCAACTCTCTATTAGTCTCGGACCAAGGTCCTGGACAAAACTTTCACTTCAGTCTCTGATTGGTCCTGGGCCTAGGTCCAAGGCAAAGCTGAGTTACACTTTCTCCAAGTCCACTCAACACATTCTTTCCTTTCCAGTTCAGAACAGCCCAGACCCAACCTCACAGATGACAAACCATTCAGGCCCCCTCTCTACTATAGAGAGCTTTCTTCTTTCATTTATTAAACTTTCCTTCTAACCTCACCCTTTGTGTCCACAATTTTCTTGGTGGTAAGTCAAAAAACTTTGGGTGATACATCATGAGAGACTACTACATTTTTGATACATTGATGAGACTGTAACATATTTTTGGTGCATGGGTTGGGAATGGGATTTATGGGAAGGGTTAGCAGGAGCCAACCGTCAAACTCTTTACTTTCATTTCAGATATTTTTCTCTCTCAAGAGCAAACAAAACACTGGGCCCCTGTCAGTGAATAGGGCAGCTGCCAGCCTTACAAGACTCAGGGGACAGGCTTCCTGAAGAGGACTTCGTCAATGCCCATCATCCTCAGGTGTTGGGAATGTTGATTCTGTTCCACTCCAGTTTTCTTTCATGGAAGACCTACCTGTCACATGCAGCTGAAAAGAGGTCCTAAGACAACTGAAATTTACTGGCCGAGGCTACATCTCAGTGTTATCTGAAGGCTCCTGCACTAACTCCAGTTCCCAACAGCCTGTCAGGGCTTTGGCACCAGAACTTCTAGCCTTTCCTACTGCATTTTCTTTCTCTCTTTTCATGGCTATCATGTCTTCTGTTCCTTCTTTGTATATAATGTTATAGCATTTTTACAAGTTGTGGATATATTCTTATTGGGTAAACTCAGCCAGTGTTGTAGTAATCAGGAATGTAATTCAAATAGGTACTGATTTTGTGATTCCCTAGAAACAAGGGGAATTCAATATTTCTGTCTAAATTTTCACCTAATAAGGGCCTTTTTGTCCCTACTGATAGACATTCATGACACTGTATAGGGGGTTATTTCACCACGAGTGAATACCCTCCTCCCTCTCCATTTGGGTTGTCTTTCCTCCATGTAAAAATTCACCACTGCCCAATGAATTTTAACAGTTTCTTTATGAAGCAAATTAGTTTTTTTTCCACTGTGGAACATATTATAGGAACAGCCTATTAAGCCTCAAACCTCTAACTTCTACCTGGAAAAAATCTGGAGTCAGAGTTTTTGCCTAACATTTCAGACCCTACAACACCTCCTAGGGGGATAGGATTTTTTCTCCATGGGGAGCCTTGTCAGCCCTTTGCTCAAAACCTCTAGTTTCCCAATTCCTCTCCCTTCTATATCCCTCTAATAGTGATCAAACTTCATACCCCATCTGTGAACAGAAAAAGGCCACTTTCACCAATCAGAAAGAAACTTCCCTGGAGAAACAAATTCTAGCCTCAGTGATGTCCCCATCAGCGGGAGGACAGCCATTCAATCCTCAGCTTCTTTTGAGACACCTGTTCTACATCCACTTACACTGACATTTAAACAAAAAAGAGTACTTTATGTTTAATAGTCAATCAGTCTCATTCTCTAGAAATTCAATGCTTTACCAGGGCCATAGCTTGAAAAGACAGAGATGGGGTTAAAACAGTCCCTTCATTAAAGGGTCTTACCCAAATCTGACTACTGTACAATGTCTCCCAGACACCTAGGGTAACTCCAGGGAGGCTTATGATCTAAGAAATCTAGAAAGACACAGAACTAGTACCTCACACAGGTGAACATGACTACTCCTAACGACTAACTTGTTCAGATCTATGGGTGAAGGTGACACTTGCATCCATGGGTGACTCCTATAACAGTCACTGGGACCCAGAGGATGAGAGAAAAAAGGAAAAGTGGGACACCCTTTCTATCTTTCTCTCCACCCTGGGTCACTCTAAAAAGAAGAAAGAGACTAAGGGACATCTTTTCTCCTCCCTTGTCTAGATGAGTAACAAACCATCTTCAGCCTGCACTCTTCTCAAGTGCATTCTGAAGCATTGAGATTCCTTTGACCCCGAGACTCTGAAGAAAAAAAATGGCCATACTGCCCAAGGTAATTTATAGATTCAATGCCATCCCCATCAAGCTACCAATGACTTTCTTCACAGAATTGGAAAAAACTACTTTAAAGTTCATATGGAACCAAAAAAGAGCCTGCATTGCCAAGTCAATCCTAAGCCAAAAAAACAAAGCTGGAGGCATCATGCTACCTGACTTCAAACTATACTACAAGGCTACAGTACCCAAAACAGCATGGTACTGGTACCAAAACAGAGATATAGACCAACGGAACAGAACAGAGCCCTCAGAAATAATGCCACATATCTACAACCACCTGATCTTTGACAAACCTGACAAAAACAAGAAATGGGGAAATGATTCCCTATTTAATAAATGATGCTGGGAAAAGTGGCTAGCCATATGTAGAAAGCTGAAACTGGATCCCTTCCTTACACCTTATACAAAAATTAATTTAAGATGGGTTAAAGACTTAAACGATAGACCTAAAACCATAAAAACCCTAGAAGAAAACCTAGGCAATAACATTCAGGACATAGGCATGGGCAAGGACTTCATGTCTAAAACACCAAAAGCAATGGCAACAAAAGCCAAAATTGACAAATGGGATCTAATTAAACTCAAGAGCTTCTGCACAGCAAAAGAAACTACCCTCAGAGTGAACAGGCAACCTAGAGAATGGGAGAAAATTTTTGCAATCTACTCATCTGACAAAGGGCAAATATCAAGAATCTACAATGAACTCCAACAAATTTACAAGAAAAAAAAAACCCATCAAAAAGTGGGCAAAGGATATGAAGAGACGCTTCTCAAAAGAAGACATTTATGCAGCCAAAAGACACATGAAAAAATGCTCATCATCACTGGTCATCAGAGAAATACAAATCAAACCCACAATGAGATACCATCTCACACCAGTTAGAATGGTGATCATTAAAAAGTCAGGAAACAACAGGTGCTGGAGAGGATGTGGAGAAATAGGAACACTTTTACACTGTTGGTGGGTCTGTAAACTAGTTCAACCCTTATGGAAGTCAGTATGGTGATTCCTCAGGGATCTAGAACTAGAAATACCATTTGACCCAGCAATCCCATTACTGGGTATATACCCAAAGGATTATAAATCATGCTGCTATAAAGACACATGCACACATATGTTTATTGCGGCACTATTCACAATAGCAAAGACTTGGAACCAACCCAAATGTCCAACAATGATAGACTGGATTAAGAAAATGCGGCACCTATACAGCATGGAATACTATGCAGCCATAAAAAATTATAAGTTCATGTCCTTTGTAGGGACATGGATGAAGCTGGAAACTATCATTCTCAGCAAACTATCGCAAGGACAAAAAACCAAACACCGCATGTTCTCACTCATAGGTGGGAATTGAACAATGAGAACACATGGACACAGGAAGGGGAACAACACACACTGGGGCTTGTTGTGAGGGGAGTGGGGAGGGATAGCATTTGGAGATATACCTAATGTTAAATGACTAGTTACTGGATGCAGCACACCAACATGGCACATGTATACATATGTAAGTAACCTGCACATTGTGCACATGTAGCCTAAAACTTAAGTATAACAAAAAAAAGACAGTAAATGATTAGGCTTATCTGGTAAATTGTATAAAAAACACTGTAAAATGATACGTGATGCTAGCTAGACCTTCTTTCAGTTACATTTATGTGTGTGTTTTTATAGGAATGTTCCAAAATTGTATACAACTCTTAGAAACCTAATATGCCATAACTGTGGTTATTATGTTGTATGCTACAGAAATAGTCAGATTTCCTTGTCAATTGCTAATTATAATGAACTTCCACCAGATTAAAAAAAAAGACTTATATTCTTATACACATGGCATGGCTTTCTTACCAACTCTAGGATGGACAGGCCTAGACTCCTGAGAAAAGTGTTAATTTTAATACTATCCAACAACTAGATCTTTCCTGCACACAGGAGAGGAAACGGTCTGAGGTTTCCTATGTGCAAGCTTCTTTGCCCTGAAAAACAACCCAGATCTTTGTAAGCATTATAAAATTGACCCTACCCTCTTAACAGTTGTATCAGACAAGCCCACAGTAGACAACTCCCCAAAGTCAGAGAAATGACCCCCCAGAAAACCCTCAAATGCAACTCCCAGGTGCCCCAGCCCTTCTTGTTCCCATTTTCCAGAGCCTCTCTTGTCACATAGTCATCAATTCCTCCAGTTCTACCACCCAAACCCCCGAGTCCACTACTATCCCTACCAGAAATGCCTGATAGTCATGGTACCACTACAGTCCAGATTCCTTTTTCATTACAAGACCTTAAACAACTAGAGGGAGACCTGGGCAAGTTATTTGATGACCCTGATAGATACATGAAGGCTTTCCAAAATCTAACTTAAGTGCTTGATCTTACATAGAGAGATGTTATGTTACTCTTAAACCAAACCCTAACTACTACTGAGAAACAGAGAGCTCTGCAGACAACAAAGAGATTCAGAGATGAAAACATGTCTCCTGTAACTGGCTGAAAAAGAAAACCAGTAAAAAGGGGAAAGAGAATGAAAAAGATAAGATCCCCATTCCCAATAACAAGAGAGCCAATATCCCTTGAAAACCCTAACTAGAGTTCTAGTGATCCCATAGAGGTGTGAAAAAGAAAGCACTTTCTGATGTACATATTAAAAGACTGACAAAAAATCAGAACCAAGTCTCTTAATTACTCTAAACTGTCCATGTTGAATCTAAAAACAGATGAAAATACCTCAGCCTTTATGGAAAGGCTGAGATAGACTTTAGTGAAACCCACCTCCCTATCTCCTGATTCAATTGAGGGACAATTAATCTTAAAAGACAAATGTATTACTCAGACAAGCACTGACATCAAAAGGAAACTACAAAAACAGGTCATAGGTCCAAATAACACCGCACCTCCCCCTGTGCCTGAGCTGTCTTTTCTGTGTTTTACTGTCTGCTCTTTCTGGCTGCTTGTAGTTAGAAGAGAAGTGATTTCCTTGAAATGCATGAGGCTAGAAAGGGAGCTGCAATTTAAAGTGGTAGTGTTTGTCCGAGATGATGGTGCTCCTGTTCTATAATTCCAGACCCTATAGTTATGAAAGGACAAAGGGTAATGTGTTGTTTCTCGCTACTTCCTGCTGGGGGGCGGGGGAGACTTTCTTGGTGTTGGATTGATTGCAGGAGCAACACGGTCTGTAGATGTTTCTGGGTAGTTGTCTACGAAATGGCCATGATTCTGTTGGTTAAAAATTTTTGGAAAAGATTAATTAAGCTGGGTAAAAACATTAGTTCTTTTTAGCAGTGTTTCTTATTAGGCCTGATTGGTTGAGACAGAAGTAACATTTTTTTTCTTAATGACAGTCAGAGGCGCATGTTTGGAAAGATCCATGTTTTTTTTTTTATTGTTAGTAACTGTTATTCCTGTTATGAGGATAATAATTAAGCAAAATCTTACAGTAACTGAGATTATCTATCAGATATTCCATCCTGAGGGTACTACAGTATATAGTCCTACCGCAAATAGTAGAGTGAGTGAAGCATTTCTCACGAGGGTAGCATAGTAAATAATTTCCATTAAAAAAAGTTGTAATATTTAGCTTAAAAGGAGAGGTAGAAAAAATAAAATGTATTTGGTGAGGTAGGGTTGAGGCTGAGTAAGATGAGTAATTTTCACTTAGTTACTTACTTTTTATCATTTTCAGCTTAAGATTTCTTATTTGTTGACAATGATATTTAGGACATTTTTGGGCTGTCAGGGGTTGCTTCCTTAGCTTTCCAGGTTTTGACTCGAGTGTGATGTATTTAGGAGTTGATTCCTGTAACAGGTACCGTCTTAATTACCCTGGGTTCCATGGACTCACTAGACATGGGGGCAAAGGATTCTGGACACCCTTAGTTATTAGTTGTTGGCACCAGCAGTGAAGAGATTTCCTCCTGTGATGGTCGGGGGACTCAGAGGCAGTGCCTGCTGAAACATCTGGTTTTCGGTTTACAGGACTTTAGGAAAGCATAGCTTATTTTAGAAACTTGTAGCAAGAAAAATTAGAATTTAAACAGTAGAAAATAATAAAAAGTGTAAAACATTACACAACACTACCATTTAACAACAGGTGTGCTATAGTTTTTGAAACATAATTTTCTCTCTTCAGTTTCCCATTTTTATTAAAAGACAGATTATGGTAGGATTGGTCTGCTTTATTATACTTGGCTTAATTATTTGTATACAGTGCAGCAAGAATAATTATTTATTACATAGGCCTTTTAAATTAGCTTTGATGGAACTTTGTTCCATAGAAGGAATCTGAGATAAGGCCTTTTTAAAGCCAACCCCATTTATGAATTTGTACCATTAAATACCTATGAGTTGGTGAATTTCTCTTCTCTTTGAGGTCCCAAGATAACTTAGGGTTCCTGGCCTGCTAGAAAGTGACATTCTTTACTTACCATGGATCAGAAACCCTGTACAGGGACTCTGTAGACAAAATATGAGGTTAGTTTTCCAAGGGCTTTATTGGCTTCATAAGTTAAGTTTGATTCCTTAAAGGAAAGCACACCATTCCAGTCAAAGCCTTGGTAAAATAACCAGTTTTTCCAATTGTGTCCTGTTACAAAACAAAAACAGATTCTTATTGCACTTATGCAAATAACTATATTGCCATAACTTAAGAATACTCACAGATAGTTTCCAAATTTTGGAGAAAATCAGGTAGACCGAAACAAGTATGCTCCAAATTTTGTTTATGGGAGTAAACTAAATTGTTAAAAGCTGTTAATAGCTCAAAAGAAAAATGTCTTTCACTTTGAAAAGCAAAACGAAGGATTACAATACTTTAAGCAAAATGTTAAAAAGATTAGCTTCCTATTAATTTAATTTATGCAGCTAATTCCTGTCCTGTTTGATATTAATTAACATTTTAGCTCTTTAAAAGTCCTGAACATTTTTCCTCTATTTTGATGTTACAATCTCCAAAGTTATCAGAAACCTGCATTTAAGAGTACCTGTTAGAGCTTTATAGCTGATTATAAAACCACCTTTTGAAGAAGACCAAAACAAGGCAACAATTGCTTATGGATAACAAAAAGTTTTAAGGTAGCCATAGTTGAAGACACAATTGACAAGGATATCTGTTACCCCTGTGGCACACAATAATTTTAACATAACAATTATAATTATTACTGATAATACACACTAAGATATATGGGAATTATAGGTGTTTCCTATAACTTTGGGACACATACAATAATGTATTCATATAAATATAGCCCAAAGAAAGCTAAACACCATTTTATATTTGACAATGCTTTCTGCATGATTTGATACTAAATAAGCCAAATTATACTTTTATATTAGTGTGCTATTAATTTTAAATTTAATTTTTAATAAAACCTTGTATACATATTTACCTAATTTTAATGTCTGAGCATAAGGTAAGATTTTTACAGACTCTTTTTAACCCTTTATAATTTTTGTTAAAGAGCAGGTTAGTGCTTTAAGAAAAACCCATTGTGCTTTTATTTTAATGCTCAATTTACAGAAAAACTGGATGATGCCCCTTTAACCTTAGCCAATATGTTTACACACAGAATTTCCTTTACAATTAACCTTCCAAAACTTGCTTAAGCTTTTAAAACAATTCTTCAACCTTTGAATGGAGGTAAAAATCCACATTCTTATGCCTCCTTAATAATCTTTTTACCAAAAGTATATTTTACTTTTCTTACACACCTTGCACATAAACTGTTTCTTCAATAGTTTTAAATACATGTTACAGTGTTAACTTTCAGCAACCTTTACTTTTGTTGAAAACCTTCATAAGTTTGGGATTTTAATTCTGTACTAGGTGTAGAGACTAGGACCCAGACAGAAGCGCAGATAAGGTTTGACTTATTCCAGCATTTAACTTCATGTGTCCTAGGTTTTACTTAGCTGCAAACAGGCAAGTTGTACAGCTAACAGTTATAGTGGCATTTTATAAAGCATTCAGGAGGCCTAATTACTTTTAAATTGTACAACATTTCTTGCATAAATTCTCTTTTATAAAATTTTCCATGACCTTCACAGTCAATTTCTGATATGCCTTAATTTTTTGACTTGTAAACATTCCTTTCTTTAAACAACCAGTTAATTTACTTTAGGACAAGAAGTTACCACATAAGGTTTTTTAAATATAAGTTATCTTTTTTAAAATATTAAAGGTAACAGTTCTTTCCCCAAAAAACCTTCCTTCATGTCTGTGGACTAGACTGCCTAAGGCCACAAGATTAAAAGTAAGGATATTTTACTAAATAGTTTCAGATGCAGCTATCTTCATTAAACTAATATTAATTTTTATTTATTAAAAATTACACAAGCAAAGATTATTTTGTTTGGGCTGAGTTTTACTTTTGTAGCCTCTATAACAAATTTTGACACCTTATAGTATTTGGCAGAGATAAGTATGAAATTGCTTGATTAATAAATGCAAACAAAAACGTATGCTGGCAACTCTTAAGACATTTCTAATTTTACTGTACTGGTAAGTTTCAAAGATCAAAGTCATGTGAACTGAAAGGTTCCACAGCCTTTTTTTCTTAAAAATATTTAAGTGCTTATTTTCCTTAGGACAATTAATTAGAGCTCTTTTAATAGACATTGCACACATAACACACATATAGCCAGACAGACAACCAGAAGAAGATCTAGTAGTTATAAGATTTACATCTGCTAATTTCCTGATTGGATAATTGGCCTCCAGATGAGGCCCTTTAAGAACAGGGCTAGGAAAACAATTTTTAGGGCCTAATAAACAAGCATAGCTGGAAGACAAAGGCAGATTTTGAGAGACACTTATTTACCTTTAATTCCAGGGGCTCCATAAGGAAAAGAGAGAATTTTTCCAAAATGAGATTTGTGTCAACTTTTCTATTTTCCCAGGGAGTCCCAGGCTACCAGAAGTTATTTTAGGGTTTTTTATGCATGCACTAAGAGTGGCAAGACAGAATGGAGAAAAGTAATTCAGTTAACTGGGAAAAAAAACCTTTTCTAGGAAAACAAGATTGATGAAGAGAAAAATATAAAAGCCTTTTGAATATACTTAAAACTTTGATCAGCAACAAATCAGACATGGAGAAAGGGACATGAATGCAAGCAATGCCTTTAACCCCAGTCACTTCCCAGAGAGGGAGGATGGCAGAGGTGGTTTTTGAATGTGTAACAGGTGCAGAATGAGGAGGAGTGGGGTTTGGGACTGAAGGCTTGGAGGCAGGAGGAACCAAAGGGGGCAGAGGCTTAGGACAAGTGAGAAGCAGATGCAAAGGCATGAGAATAAAGAAGGGGTTCATCCAAGAAGAAACTAGAAAACCTGAACATAACTATAAACAAATAGTGGTACAAACTTATACAGCCAAAAAAGACTTCAAGAAAAACTCCCCTAGAAAACCGAAAAGCCAGACATACTAACAAAACGATTAAAAAAAAAAAATCTACTCAGACTTTTGGCCTTTCTCCCTATACAAACCAATAAAAAGAATAATAAGCATCACTGTTTATATTCTCTGTAAAATTTTAATTAATGAAAAATAATTTTCTTAAAGAACACTCAACTAAAGATTGATATTGAAACTATAGGTATATTTAAAAGACCTTTATAGTTTTCTCTTCTTAGATCTTGTTTTTCTGGAAAAGGTTTTATTCTCAGTCAACTAAATTACTTTCCTCCACTCTGTCTTACCACCCTTAATACCTGCATAAAAGGCCCTAAGATGACTTCTGATGACCTGAGACTCCTTTGGAAATAAAAGAAAAACCATATATACACATACACAACAAATTCCATTTTGAGAGAAATCTCTGTTTTCCTTGTGGAACCTGAACCCAAAGAATTAGAGTCAGATAAATCCCTCTCAAAATCTATTTTTGTCTTCCAACTATACCTATTTATTAGGCCCTAGAAACTGCACATTTTCCTAGCCCTGTTCTTAAAAAAAAAACTCCATCCTGAGACCAATAATCCAATCAGAAGACTGACAAACAGAAAATTTTACAACTACTAGATCTTCTTCTGTCTATAGAGTCATATATATGTTAGATATGTGATGTCTATAAAAAAAAAAACTCTAATTAATTAACCTAAAAAAAAAACCACCAAAGATTTTTGAAGGAAAATTAAAAATTATAATGCCTCTTAGTTCACGTGACTTTAATCTTTACAAAATAAAATGTCTTAAAAAGTATTGGTAAAATACAAATGTCTTCAAGATATAAATATGTGATATGTGTTATACAAGTCATATACTAAATT
Source organism: Homo sapiens (assembly GCF_000001405.40). Classification (NCBI taxonomy): domain Eukaryota; kingdom Metazoa; phylum Chordata; class Mammalia; order Primates; family Hominidae; genus Homo; species Homo sapiens. The sequence goes on from NC_000010.11 coordinate 5,174,480, forward strand.
TACTAAATATTTTAAGATTGCAAACTACTTCTTTGACCTTTACAAACTGACTTTCATACTTCACAATTAATAAGACCTGAGGACATAGAGAAATAACCACACCTCTAACTATACTAGAAAAACTCAGACTTTATGCCTAACATATCAATAAAACAACTTACCAGGTTTTACACTAAACTTAAAAATTACTAAGAACTACCATTATGATATATAATTGAGACTACTATAAATAAATTTACATACAAACTATGTAAAAACAGGAAAAAGTGTTTTTAATAAAAAATTATGAAAAGACATAAAAATAAATATTTTGCCTAGGAATAAAAGACTGTCTTAAATAAAATAAAATAAAAATGAAAGATTAAACAGGTTGTGAAAAGTTATAAAAATTTTACAAAACCACGGTCTATATAAACATATTAACTAAATTAAAAAATATTACATGTTTTTTCATAAATCGAACATTGAAATAAAAAACAAGGTTTTCTTTATTTTGTTATTATTATATTTTAAGTTTTAGGGTACAAGTGCACAATGTGCAGGTTTGTTACATATGTATACATGTGCCATGCTGATGTGCTGCACCCATTAACTCGTCATTTAGCATTAGGTATATCTCCTAATGCTATCCCTCCCCCCTCCCCCCTCCCCCAACCCCGCAACAGTCCCCAGAGTGTGATGTTCCCCTTCCTGTGTCCATGTGTTCTCATTGTTCAATTCCCACCTATGACTGAGAATGTGCGATGTTTGGTTTTTTGTCCTTGCGATAGTTTACTGAGAATGATGATTTCCAATTTCATCCATGTACCTACAAAGGACATGAACTCATCATTTTTTATGGCTACATAGTATTCCATGGTGTATATGTGCCACATTTTCTTAGTCCAGCCTATCATTGTTGGACATTTGGGTTAGTTCCAAGTCTTTGCTGTTGTGAATAGTGCTGCAATAAACATATGTGTGCATGTGTCTTTATAGCAGCATGATTTATAGTCCTTTGGGTATATACCCAGTAATGGGATGGCTAGGTCAAATGGTATTTCTAGTTCTAGATCCCTGAGGAATCGCCACACTGACTTCCACAATGTTTGAACTAGTTGACAGTCCCACCAACAGTGTAAAAGTGTTACTATTTCTCCACATCCTCTCCAGCACCTGTTGTTTCCTGACTTTTTAATGATTGCCATTCTAACTGGTGTGAGATGGTATCTCATCATGGTTTTGATTTGCATTTCTCTGATGGCCAGTGATGGTGAGCATTTTTTCATGTGTTTTTTTGGCTGCATAAATGTCTTCTTTTGAGAAGTGTCTGTTCATGAACTTCGCCCACTTTTTGATGGGGTTGTTTGTTTTTTTCTTGTAAATTTGTTTGAGTTCATTGTAGATTCTGGATATTAGCCCTTTGTCAGATGAGTAGGTTGCGAAAATTTTCTCCCATTTCGTAGGTTGCCTGTTCACTCTAATGGTAGTTTCTTTTGCTGTGCAAAAGCTCTTTAGTTTAATTAGATCCCATTTGTCAATTTTGTCTTTTGTTGCCATTGCTTTTGGTGTTTTAGACATGAAGTCCTTGCCCATGCCTATGTCCTGAATGGTAATGCCTAGGTTTTCTTCTAGGGTTTTTATGGTTTTAAGTCTAACGTTTAAGTCTTTAATCCATCTTGAATTAATTTTTGTGTAAGGTGTAAGGAAAGGATCCAGTTTCAGCTTTCTACATATGGCTAGCCAGTTTTCCCAGCACCATTTATTAAATAGGGATTCCTTTCCCCATTGCTTGTTTTTCTCAGGTTTGTCAAAGATCCGATAGTTGTAGATATGCGGCATTATTTCTGAGGGCTCTGTTCTGTTCCACTGATCTATATCTCTGTTTTGGTACCAGTACCATGCTGTTTTGGTTACTGTAGCCTTGTAGTATAGTTTGAAGTCAGGTAGTGTGATGCCTCCAGCTTTCTTCTTTTGGCTTAGGATTGACTTGTTGATGCAGGCTCTTTTTTGGTTCCATACGAACTTTAAAGTAGTTTTTTCCAATTCTGTGAAGAAAGTCATTGGTAGCTTGATGGGGATGGCATTGAATCTATAAATTACCTTGGGCAGTATGGCCATTTTCACGATATTGATTCTTCCTACCCATGAGCATGGAATGTTCTTCCATTTGTTTGTATCCTCTTTTATTTCCTTAAGCAGTGGTTTGTAGTTCTCCTTGAAGAGGTCCTTCACATCCCTTGTAAGTTGGATTCCTAGGTATTTTATTATCTTTGAAGCAATCGTGAATGGGAGTTCACTCATGATTTGGCTCTCTGTTTGTCTGTTATTGGTGTATAAGAATGCTTGTGATTTTTGTACATTGAGTTTGTATCCTGAGACTTTGCTGAAGTTGCTTATCAGCTTAAGGAGATTTTGGGCTGAGACGATGGGGTTTTCTAGATATAGAATCATGTCGTCTGCAAACAGGGATAATTTGACTTCCTCTTTTCCAATTGAATACCCTTTATTTCCTTCTCCTGCCTAATTGCCCTGGCCAGAACTTCCAACACTATGTTGAATAGGAGTGGTAAGAGAGGGCATCCCTGTCTTGTGCCAGTTTTCAAAGGGAATGCTTCCAGTTTTTGCCCATTCAGTATGATATTAGCTGTGGGTTTGTCATAGATAGCTCTTATTATTTTGAGATGCATCCCATCAATACCTGATTTATTGAGAGTTTTTAGCATGAAGGGCTGTTGAATTTTGTCAAAGGCCTTTTCTGCATCTATTGAGATAATCATGTGGTTTTTGTCTTTGGTTCTGTTTATATGCTGGATTACATTTATTGATTTGCATATATTGAACCAGCCTTGCATCCCAGGGATGAAGCCCACTTGATCATGGTGGGATAAGCTTTTTGATGTGCTGCTGGATTCGGTTTGCCAGTATTTTATTGAGGATTTTTGCATCAATGTTCATCAAGGATATTGGTCTAAAATTCTCTTTTTTTGTTGTGTCTCTGCCCGGCTTTGGTATCAGGATGATGCTGGCCTCGTAAAATGAGTTAGGGAGGCTTCCTTCTTTTTCTATTGATTGGAATAGTTTCAGAAGGAATGGTACCAGTTCCTCCTTGTACCTGTGGTAGAATTCGGCTGTGAATCCATGTGGTCCTGGACTCTTTTTGGTTAGTAAGCTATTGATTATTGCCACAATTTCAGAACCTGTTATTGGTCTATTCAGAGATTCAACTTCTTCCTGGTTTAGTCTTGGGAGGGTGTATGTGTCGAGGAATTTATCCATTTCTTCTAGATTTTCCAGTTTATTTGCATAGAGGTGTTTGTAGTATTCTCTGATGGTAGTTTGTATTTCTGTGGGATCGGTGGTGATATCCCCTTTATCATTTTTTACTGCATCTATTTGATTCTTCTCTCTTTTCTTCTTTATTAGTCTGGCTAGTGGTCTATAAATTTTGTTGATCCTTTCAAAAAAACAGCTCCTGGATTCATTAATTTTTTGAAGGGTTTTTTGTGTCTCTATTTCCTTCAGTTCTGCTCTGATTTTAGTTACTTCTTGCCTTCTGCTAGCTTTTGAATGTGTTTGCTCTTGCTTTTCTAGTTCTTTTAATTGTGATGTTAGGGTGTCAATTTTAGATCTTTCCTTCTTTTTCTTGTGGGCATTTAGTGCTATAAATTTCCCTCTACACACTGCTTTGAATGTGTCCCAGAGATTCTGGTATGTTGTGTCTTTGTTCTCATTGGTTTCAAAGAACATCTTTATTTCTGCTTTCATTTCGTTATGTACCCAGTAGTCATTCAGGAGCAGGTTGTTCAGTTTCCATGTAGTTGAGCAGTTTTGAGTGAGTTTCTTAATCCTGAGTTCTAGTTTGATTGCACTGTGGTCTGAGAGACAGTTTGTTATAATTTCTGTTCTTTTACATTTGCTGAGGAGAGCTTTGCTTCCAACCATGTGGTCAATTTTGGAATAGGTGTGGTGTGGTGCTGAAAAAAATGTATATTCTGTTGATTTTGGGTGGAGAGTTCTGTAGATGTCTATTAGGTCCGCTTGGTGCAGAGCTGAGTTCAATTCCTGGGTATCCTTTTTAACTTTCTGTCTCATTGATCTGTCTAATGTTGACAGTGGGGTGTTAAAGTCTCCCGTTATTATTGTGTGGGAATCTAAGTCTCTTTGTAGGTCACTCAGGACTTGCTTTATGAATCTGGGTGCTCCTGTATTGGATGCATATATATTTAGGATAGTTAGGTCTTCTTGTTGAATTGATCCCTTTACCATTATGTAATGGCCTCATCTCTTTTGATCTTTGTTGGTTTGAAATCTGTTTTATCAGAGACTAGGATTGCAACCCCTGCCTTTTTTTTTGTTTTCCATTTGCTTGGTAGATCTTCCTCCATCCTTTTATTTTGAGCCTATGTGTGTCTCTGCACATGAGATGCGTTTCCTGAATACAGCACACTGATGGGTCTTGACTCTTTATCCAATTTGCCAGTCTGTGTCTTTTAATTGGAGCATTTAGTCCATTTACATTTAAAGTTAATATTATTATGTTTGAATTTGATCCTGTCATTATGATGTTAGCTGGTTATTTTGCTCGTTAGTTGATGCAGTTTCTTCCTAGCCTCGATGGTCTTTACAATTTGGCATGATTTTGCAGTGGCTGGTACTGGTTGTTCCTTTCCATGTTTAGTGCTTCCTTCAGGAGCTCTTTTAGGGCAGGCCTGGTGGTGACAAAAATCTCTCAGCATTTGCTTGTCTGTAAAGTATTTTATTTCTCCTTCACTTATGAAGCTTAGTTTGGCTGGATATGAAATTCTGGGTTGAAAATTCTTTTCTTTAAGGATGTTGAATATTGGCCCCCACTCTCTTCTGGCATGTAGAGTTTCTGCCGAGAGATCTGCGTTAGTCTGATGAGCTTCCCTTTGTGGGTAACCCGACCTTTCTCTCTGGCTGCCCTTAACATTTTTTCCTTCATTTCAACTTTGGTGAATCTGACAATTATGTATCTTGGAGTTGCTCTTCTCAAGGAGTACCTTTGTGGCATTCTCTGTATTTCCTGAATCTGAATGTTGGCCTGCCTTGCTAGATTGGAGAAGTTCTCCTGGATAATATCCTGCAGAGGGTTTTCCAACTTGGTTCCATTCTCCCCATCACTTTCAGGTACACCAATCAGACGTAGATTTGGTCTTTTCACATAGTCCCATATTTCTTGGAGGCTTTGTTCTTTTTATTCTTTTTTCTCTAAACTTCCCTTCTCCCTTCATTTCATTCGTTTCATCTTCCATCACTGATATCCTTTCTTCCAGTTGATTGCATCAGCTCCTGAGGCTTCTGCATTCTTCATGTAGTTCTCAAGCCTTGGCTTTCAGCTCCTTCAGCTCCTTTAAGCACTTCTCTGTATTTGTTATTCTAGTTATACATTCATCTAAATTTTTTTCAAAGTTTTTAACTTCTTTGCCTTTGTTTTGAATTTCCTCCTGTAGCTCAGAGTAGTTTGATCATCTGAAGCCTTCTTCTCTCAACTTGTCAAAGTCATTCTCCATCCAGCTTTGTTCCGTTGCTGGTGAGGAACTGCGTTCGTTTGGAGGAGGAGAGGCACTCTGCTTTTTAGAGTTTCCAGTTTTTCTACTCTGTTTTTTCCCCATCTTTGTGGTTTTATCTACTTTTGGTCTTTGATGATGGTGATGCACAGATGGGCTTTTAGTGTGGATGTCCTTTCTTTTTGTTAGTTTTCCTTCTAACAGACAGGACCCTCAGCTGCAGGTCTGTTGGAGTTTGCTAGAGGTCCACTCCAGACCCTGTTTGTCTGGGTATCCGCAGCAGAGATTGCAGAACAGCGGATTTTCATGAACTGCGAATGCTGCTGTCTGATCATTCCTCTGGAAGTTTTGTCTCAAATGAGTACCTGGCTGTGTGCGGTGTCAGTCTGCCCCTACTGGGGGCTGCCTCCCAGTTAGGCTGCTCGGGGGTTAGGGGTCAGGGACCCACTTGAGGAGACAGTCTGCCTGTTCTCAGAGCTCCAGCTGCATGCTGGGAGAACCACTGCTCTCTTCAAAGCTGTCAGACAGGGACATTTAAGTCTGCAGAGGTTACTGCTGTCTTTTTGTTTGTCTGTGCCCTGCCCCCAGAGGTGGAGCCTAGAGAGGCAGGCAGGCCTCCTTGAGCTGTGGTGGGCTCCACACCTCTGCTCCAGTTCGAGCTTCCAGGCTGCTTTGTTTACCTAAGCAAGCCTGGGCAATGGCGGGTGCCCCTCCCCCAGCCTGGCTGTCGCCTTGCAGTTTGATCTCAGACTGCTGTGCTAGCAATCAGCTAGACTCCGTGGACATAGGACCCTCCGAGCCATGTGTGGGATATAATCTCCTGGTGCGCTGTTTTTTAAGCCCGTCGGAAAAGCGCGGTATTAGGGTAGGAGTGACCCGATTTTCCAGGTGCCGTCTGTCACCCTTTTCTTTGACTAGGAAAGGGAACTCCCTGACCCCTTGCACTTCCCGAGTGAGGCAATGCCTCGCCCTGCTTTGGCTCATGCACAGTGCACTGCACCCACTGTCCTGTGCCCACTGTCTGGCACTCCCTTGTGAGATGAACCCGGTACCTCAGATGGAAATGCAGAAATCACCCGTCTTCTGCGTCACTCACGCTGGGAGGTGTAGACCAGAGCTGTTCCTATTCGGCCTTCTTGGCTGCCACCCCAAGGTTTTCTTAAGAAGCTAATCTACTTTAACAATATGTATAAAGAATTATTAAAGGTTTATAAAAATCTCATCTCATTGTCAAATTGGTTAAGATTAAATAGAATTATCTATAAAGTTTCATTAAAAATTGGGATTGACATTAATAAAAAACTAATAAAAGGGTGAAATTCGACTTTCTTTTGAACAAGATTTTCAAGTCATAATAAAGACTAATAAAAAGTTTTTACTTTTTCAAATGTTTAAATCATTTTAACAAAACAAATGACTTATGGTAATCTGAAATTCTGTTTCATAATATCAATTGGCTTTAAACTTCTAACATATTCGACAGGCTTCCCAAAATTAAACTTGAGTTTCAAGATTGTCTTCCCTGACCCCTAATGTTTAAATACTACAGAAGGCCCCTAAAACAACCCCAAAAAAGTGAACAGGATCACTTGACATATTTAAATATGTGAGACTGCCAAAATGATATTTAATCTTCCTCAAGTTATATTTCAGTAAATAATATTAATGTATGTTCCAAAACCATATAAGATGTCTAAGATTCTAATGTCTAAATATATACTGTCAATCATAATTAAGGTTATTGTGTTAAACTATTGTAAACCACAGAAATAACCAAATTACTTTGTCAATCATATTCTTAGCTACAACTACCCTGGACATTTTGTCATTCACAGGCAATTGTTACCTTGTTTTAATCCACTTCAAAAGATGATTTATAATCAACTATAAGACTTTAACAAACACTCTCAAATACAAGTTTCTAATAAAAAAACATGCAAGACTCACAAAAAACTAAAATGTTTATAAATATCAAACAGAACAAGAGTTAACAAAATAGACTAATAGAAAACTGAAGTAATCCTTTTTAACTTTTCACTAAAAAATTACTGATCATCATTTTGTTTTTTTCAGAGTCAAAAAACTTTTGAAAGAACTACAACTTTTAACGATTGAATAACATACACTTCTGTGAACAAAATTTAAAACATATTTATTTATCTCTACCTGGTTCCTCTGAAATTCAGAAACTAATTATAAATATTCAAGACTTATAACAATATAATTGCTTACATCAGTACAATAAAAATCCATTTTCTTTTACAAGACACAATTTTTAAAAATGATTATTTTACCAAGACTTTGACTGGAAGGATATATTTCCCTTTGAATAATCAAACTTAACTTCCGAAACCAATAAAAACCTCTTAGAAAAACTGGCCTCATACCTTGTCTATGCAGTTCCCAAACAGGGTTCCTAACCTATAATAAATAAAGAATGTCACTTTCTAACAGGCTCAAGAACCCTATATTCTTGGGACCTCAAAAAGAGAAAAATTGACCCAACTCATAAATATTTGAGAGTACAAACCCATGACTAGACTCAACTTTAAACTGAGGTATTATTATCTGAGGTTACTTATGGAATAGAATTCCATCAAAACCAATTTAAAAACCCTATATAAAATAATTATTGTAAGGCCAGGTGTGGTGGCTTATGCCTGTAATCCTAGCACTTTGGGAGGCCGAGGCAGGCAGATTGCCTGAGCTCAGGAGTTCGAGACCAGCCTGGGCAACATAGTGAAACCCTGTCTCTACGAAAATACAAAAAATAAGCTGGGTGTGGCAGCATGCACCTGTAGTCCCAGCTACTCAAGAGGCTGAGGTAGGAGAACTGCTTGAACCCAGGAGGCGGAGGTTGTAGTGAGCCGAGATCATGCCATTGCACTCCAGCCTGGGCAGGAGAGCAGACTCTGTCTCAAAAAAAAAAAAAATTATTCTTACTATTCTTTATACAGATAATCAGACCAAATATGAAACTAAAATTTATTTTACAAACAACTCAGTACTATCCTATCATGACTTGTTTTTGACAAAAATAAGAACTAGAGAGAAAAATAGTGTGTCAAACTTGCCATACATTTGTTATTAAATTCTAGTCTCACTAATTATTTTTAAATGTTTACCTACATTTTAGACTAACCCTACTTATTCTTATGAACTAACCAACAATCTCTGACTACAACAAAAAATAAAAACAGTAAAAGATAAATAATATAAAATTTAGAACAATATTCTAGTTCTGAACAATTATCCTACAAATCCTACCAGGTCATAGGAATATATAGAATACCCATAATCCAGAGGTTGCTTTATTTGAGAAAAGAAGACCAAAAAAACTAAGCAAAACCAAGCTCCATACACCGAAATCGTAACAGACATAACTATAACTACCAATTATCAGGACGTATCAACAACCTCAGAATTTTTAAACTATCCTTATCCCCCCTTATTTCATTTTAATACATGTACTCTAATAGCCCAAATTATTTCTTCTCACATAAAAACTATCAAACTCTAAATGGTAATACTAATAACACCACACATAAACATATCTTTCTTCCAAAGATCATTAAACCAACCCCAGGAAGAACTCTAACTACTGTTCCCCACATGACACCACCATCCGACAAAAAAATAGCCAGAAAAGTCAACACCCAATCTCCCTGACAATTAGGGACTCCACTCCTGAGGGTAAAAATGAGAGAAAAAACTTAAACAGTTAGAGTGAGTTCTTGGTAAAACTCCTTTAAACAGAGAAACAGCTTGAAAAAAATCAGACTACACACACAGATAAGGAAACTTACACAAACCTCCAGCTCACTCAGATAAAAAAACAAGGCCCAACATCAAAATGCCTTTGTCCTTTATGCCTAAGACATGGCAACAACTGCACTCATATGAGAACAAGAACCAACAGAGAAACACATTTGTCTTTTGTGTAACCAACAGACTTCTAGGAAAGTCTCTTTTTCTTTTGTGGGCATGTATATGGTGGGCTCCAGTGGGCTCTGGTGGGCACTTTCCTTTCCTTTTGTGGACATGTGGACCGTGAGATGAGCCTTTATGAATTATCATTCAGCATCTGACTGCTCCTGGGCCAAGGTCCCAGGCCAAGCTATCACTTCAACTCCTGATTGGTCCCAGACCAAGGTCCCAGGACAAGCTGAGTTACACTTTCTCCAAGACCAGTCAACAAATTCTTTTCTTTCCCAGTCCATCAAAACCCTAGACCTGACCTCATAGTTAACAATCCATCCAGGCCCCCTCTCTACTCGAGAAAATCTTCCTTCTTTCACTTATTAAACTTTCACTCCAACCTTACCCTTTGTGTCCACAGTCCTTAATTTTCTCAGTCATAAGACAAAAAACTTCAGATAATCCCTCAAAATGAAAGACTACTATATTTTTAATACATTGATGAGACTGTAACAGAATCGCAGTGGCTTCTTATATAGCAAAAAGTTTGGATGGTTGAAACTCTCTGGCAAATACTTCCAGCCCCAATAACCTCACAGCAAAGCTGCCACTAAGTATTCATTTTGGCTTTTGATTCCTCCTGGGTCCTTGGCCCTTCACATTTCTAACCAAGAGTAGAGTGGCTCTGACCAGAGCAAAAGATGAGAACAGTCTGAGCTTGCATTTTTAAAACGTAACAAATTTTAATGAGTACTTACCTAGGCCAGTTGTTAAGGAATTAAATAAGATAATGCATGTAAAACACCTAAAATACATGGAAAGCATTTGATATATTAGGTAACATTGATACTTTTAATAGAAATAAAGATAATATACCCACAAAATTATCAATCTCAGAATCCCCACAATCAATAACTTGCCATGCCACTTAAAGCAAAAAAGATCTCTGTGACCTTGAGAGGAGCAAGTTAGAGACAGTTAAATGAAATCCCAGATGAGCCCTTCCAAGCATCCACTGTCTACCCAAGTGCAGGGCTCTTGCCTGATGACTGCCCTGCAAGTACAGCTGACCTAAGAAACTTCAGCCTCCTGGGGTCCACTTACATGATCAGGAGCATAAGTGCCAAATCCCAGCACTGGCATGAAGGGTCCATCATTCAGCCTCACTGAATGGCTTTGCTTCAGATCCGTCATCATCCCCAGCTAACCTGTCTTTCCTCCTTTTCCTCACTGACAGCCCAGTAGGAGACAAGGCTCCTGCGTTCTTTATTTGCACCAAATGCAGGATGGGCGGGATGGAGATGACAGCTGCCAATGATTTCAAAATGAAACTGGAATCAGTCCAGTGCCTTTTCTCTGATTCTTATGTCTCTGTGGGAGTATTTTACAGAAAACTCACTCAGAAATGCTGTGAATGCCAGAGGACTTTGATTTTCTCCTCCGTGTTGTTCACACTTGATTCCTTAGTTGAAAAATGAACCACACCAATTTGTCCTTGATAAGTACACTAGACTTCCTTTACAAGAGGCAAAGTTATTATTAGGGTGGTCATTTCAAAACACTAATTCTACTACAGAACTGAAGTTAACTTTCTCACTTATATTTGATTGTTAATCCCTTTAAAACAGCTTATTAGAATTCCTTGAATAACGCTTGAGGCCTAGTGCCAGCCATGCATGTAATGAAATTTCTTAAGAACACCCACCCCTATTCCCAGTATATTTCCCTCCTGTGTCAAGCCACACTCCATTTTCTCTGACTTGTTTCCTTGAATGTTTTGCAGAAAAAACTTGTCTGAGATCATGGATACATTTCTATGCTCTTGCCTTTGTTCCAGCCATTGTCTCTTTTTAGAACAGCCTGCTTAACTCCCTCCTGGTCTCCAGCGGGTTTCTTATCTTTTACTTATCCTAAAAGCACCTCCTACAGTCTAACATCCTTTATGACTCCTTCTTTTTATTGTTGTTTTTTGTTTGTTTGTTTTGAACAAAGATAGGAGATAGCAAAGCAGCCTGGGTCTTAACAGAACAGCTTGGAATTCCAGGGCCTAAATTGCTTTTGCAAACATAAACACACACACAGCAACCATGAGAAAAATGAAAATTAAAAATGGCTTCCAATTCAGATGCCAAGAGGCTCAGCCTAAATGGCCTTCTGCATAATTCACTTTGGACACTTTCATCCTCTGTAGGTGAGGACAACAGGTCTGGACCAAGGTTAATACCTTAAATGGTTCGAAATAACTGACTTTGGGCAGGGTGCAGTGCCTCATGCCTGTAATCCCAGCACTTTGGGAGGCTGAGGTGGGCGGATCATGAGGTCAGGAGGTCGAGACCATCCTGGCTAACACGGTGAAACCCTGTCTCCACTAAAAATACAAAAAATTAGCCGGGCGTGGTGGTGGGCACCTGTAATCGCAGCTACTCAAGAGGCTGAGGCAGGAGAATGGCATGAACCCGGGAGGCGGAGCTTGCAGTGAGCCAAGATTGCACCACTGCACTCCAGCCTGGGTGACAGAGCAAGACTCCTTCTCAAAAAAATAAAATAAAATAACATAACATAACAGACTTTGAAATAATCAGCAGGGTAACCAGTTATTGCTAAAAACACCTCTTCATCTTTTTTTTTATTTTTTTCAAATTTTAAGTAATAGATTTAATTATCACATTATGAAATACTATAAAAAGAGAAGATGACTTCTTCTATAACCTCCCTGGGTGAGGTTGACCAGCCTTCTCTGTGTGCCTCTTATTCTCTTAGCTTCTATGAAGCAGGTCAAAAAAAATCACATCATTGAAATTACACTCTCCACTAATAAGGAGCTTCTGCTAGATAAGATGCTTAAGTGGTATTTTCTTTGGTGTTTTTATTATGCGGTGCTTTCTCCAACATGTATTTGTGCCATTGGTATCTTAGAGGCAATCCTGAAACATGACGTTGTCATTTATCTTATTTTGAACCCATAGCTCTGGCTGCTCAAGGTCCGAATTCTGCCTGATTCTGATTCCCTGTAGTTTATAATTATCACAACATTGTATCAGTTATAAATCTGGCAAGTATACTATTTATATTACACTGGTAAAACTGTAGAACCCTACAGAGATGGGGTTAAGTTCTGTGTCAAGTCACAAAAAAAGCATGTCTATTAATGGTAATAGCCTGAAGCTCATCATTCACTAGATTAAAAATTTGTCTAACATGTTTGCAATATTAACCTGTATTTTGCACTAAATGGTTTACCCAAGTAAGAGACATTTCTCTGTCACTTCCCTAATTTAGCAGTCTAGGAAATTTGTTAGTGAAAGAGAGTGTGCCAATTTTATTCTTAGTAAATCCAAAGCAGGGCTTCATGCTCCCTTAAACTTGCCTTAAGCATTATCCTAAAACATTTACAGATTTGACGTCATGCTTTGTAGCAAGCACTTTTCAGAATCCATCTTCCCTAACTGGAAAGGTGTTCGTCCATGGTTTCCTGGCACTATTTTTACTTCCTCAGGTTTTCAAAAGCTACCAAGGATATGAGTTGCTCTCAGGGAGCTCATGGTTTATTGGATAAGAGGTGGGCAGATGGCAAATTGTTCCCCTGTGATCCCTGCCTCCTGGTATTTATGGCCCTGTATAATGTGTATAATGCCCTCTCATCAACTGTGACTAGTACTTGTGTCTTTATTCTAAACAATTGACTATTGTAAAGAAGAGTGATATTATTTCCATCATTAGGAAATACAAAATTGTAATTTCCATTGTGCTAGGAAACTCTACTGTTTTCTCAGTTTTCAAACTTTGATAAAATTGGTGGCAACATAGGAGAGGCTCACATGGAGAGGAGCTGAGTGGGGCCTCTGGTCACCAGCCAGCTCAAAACTGAGGCTTTCATTCAGACAGTCCAGAAGAAACCAAACCCTGCCAGTTCCCCCCTGACCTTGGAAGCAGGTTATTCCCCTCTAAGCCTTCAGGAGACCCTGCTTTAGACTTATGCCTTTACTGCAGCCCATTGAGGATCTGAGCAGAGGTACTAGATCAACTCTGCATGGCTGCACACAAGTCACTACAACCTTAGCAGCTTAAAACCTACACAAGGTGACAGAGTGCAAATGGCAATTATAATATAGCAAGGCACCCAAGGAAACAGAAGGAAACGTGCAATTCTGGAAGAAGAGGTAGAAGGAGTGCCAGAAAATATGTTGCAATGGCCTCCATGGAACACATTCAAGAATTATATGAAAGTGTATTTCATTCAAAAATAAATAGTGAGTAGCTATAACGTGCAAGATACTGTTGTCGGCATTAAAAACAGACAAAAATCGAAGCCTGCATTGAACTCACTTTCAAGGAGACAGAAACGGACAAAAAACTAATAATTACATAGAATGAAAACCATGTTGTATGATAGGAAGCACTGTGAAGGGAAAAAAGTAGGGAAAGGTGTAGAGTATGGAAAGAGGGCAGGGACAATTGAAATTACAAATAGCTTAATAGCTTAAGCAGGGGATCCTCACTGAGACAGAGACATTTAAGAAAAGACCTGAAGGAGTGGAGGAAGCCAGCCTTGCTGACAGCTGAGGGAAAAGGGCTTCAAGCAGAGGGATCCTGAAGGGCATAGTCCCTGTAGCCAGGGAAGGCCACGTGTGATCTGGGAACAGCAGGATTAGGAAAGAGGTCAGAAAGGAAGGGAAGGCCATGTTTCGGCAGAGCCCTGTAGGCCACTGAAAGCATTTGGCTTTCACTCTAGGACAGATAAGAAGACACTGAATGAAACTGAGCTGCTGTGTAGAGAGTAGAATGTAGGTTGGTGAGGGATAAAAGTGGAAAACTAGTTAGGAAGCTACTTAATAACCAATGTAAGAAATTGAGTAATTTGGAACAGGATGGTTGTAAAGCAGGTGAGGAGAAGTGGTCAGATTCTGGGTAATTTTTAAGGTGAACATCAGAGGCCTTGTTCACAGATTTTATATTGGTTATGAGAGAATATTAAAAGGCAAGAATCACTCCCCAAATTTAGTTCTTTATGATGGAAAGAAAGGAATCATTGAGACTGTGAAAATTTAAGGTGGAGCTAAATTGCATGGAGATTAAATAAATTTTTTTCTGTGGCATCCTGAGCTTGAAATGCCCATTAGACCCTCAAGAGGAGGTGCTGAATGGACAATTTGTCATTCCAGTCTGAATTATTGGGGAAAGGTCTGAACTGGAGTTCAGATTACAGCCTGCTGAAGGTTCAGATGATTGTTAGCATTTTGTAACAAAATTTTTTTTAAATTAAGGTATGTACATTGTTTCCTTAGATACTATTGCTCACCTAATGTATTACAGAATAGTGTATGCATAATTTTTATATGCAGTTGAAATAAAAAAATTATGTAATTCATTTTTGTGCTATTTTTTATGTTGGTGGTCTGGAACCCAACATTTAATATCTATAACGTATGCCTGTGTACTATGTCTTGATTATCTCTTGTCAGAGTTTTTGACTAAATTGTATTGTGTCTGGTCCTAGTATAGCTATCACAGCTCTTTTTTGGTTACTACTTTCATACAATACCTATTTCTGTCTTTCATGTTCATATTATTTATGTCCTCACCTAAAGTGAGTTTCTAGTTCAGAACATAGAGTTGGGTTCTAGATTTTTTAAAATCCATTCTGCAAATCTTCCTTTTAATGTGAAAATTTAAGCCAATTTCATTCAATGTACAGTTATGAGACACACAACAACATTCTGATAAAGGAAGAAACACAGAAACAATGGTGGCTTCCCCCAGTTAAGTAGGTGTTATCCCTGGGATTCAAGGTTGACTCAACATACACAAATTAAAAATGTGATTCATCACATTAACATAACTAAAGACAAAAACCACATAATCATCTTCATAGATGCAGGAAAGGCTTTTGATAAAATTCAACACTACGTCATGTTAAAAACTCAGTAAACCAGATATTGAAGGAACATGCCTCAAAATAATAAGACCCATATATGACAAACCCGCAGTCAATATCATACTAAATGGGCAAAATATGAAAGCATGCCCTTTGAAAAGTGGCACAAGACAAGGATGCCCTCTGTCACCACGCCTATTCAATGTAGTATTGGAAATCATGGTTAAGAAATCAGGCAAGACAAAGAAATAAAGGGCATCCGAATAAGAAGAGAGAAAGTAAAACTACCCCTGTTTGCAGATGACATGATTCTATATCTAGAAAACCCCCTAGTCTCATTCCAAAAGCTCTTTAACAAACTGATAAACAACTTCAGTGAAGTCTCAGAATACAAAATCAATGTACAAAAATCACTAGCATTTCTATACACCAACAGCTGTCAAGCCAACAGCCAAGTCAGAAACACAATCCCATTCCCAACTGCCATAAAAAGAATAAAATGCCTATGAATACATCTAATCAGGAAGGGGAAAGATCTCTACAATGAGAACTACAAAACATAGCTCAAAGAAATCAGAGATAAACAAATGGAAAAAACATTCTATGCTCATGAATAGAAAAAATTATGTCATTAAAATGGCCATACTTCCCAAAGCAATTAATAGAGTCAATGCTATTCCTATTAAACTACCAGTGGCATTCTTCACAGAACTGGAAAAGAACTATTTTAAAATTCATATGGTACCAAAAAAGAGCCCAAATAGCCAAGGCAATCAAAGGAAAAAGAACAAAGCAGGAGGCATCACACTTCAAACTGTACTACAGGGCTACAGTAACCAAAACAGCATGGTACTGGTACAAAAACAGACATATAGACCAATAGAACAGAATAAAGAGCCCAGAGGTAAGGCCACACACCTACAACCATCTGATCTTCAATGAAGCTAAGAAAAACAAGCAATTGGAAAAAGACTTCCTATTTCACAAGTGGTACTGTGATAACTGGCTAGCCATATTCATATGATTTAAATCAGACCCCTTCCTTACACCATATTCAAAAATGAACTGAAGGTGGATTAAAGACTTAAATGTAAAACCCCAAATTATAAAAACTCTAAAAGACAACCTAGGCAATACCATTCTGGACACAGGAACGAACAAAGATTTCATTACAAACACACCAAAATCAATTTTTATAGTATATATTTTTTAAATATATATTATAATAATTGAAAACAAAAGTGAACAGGAGTAGCCATTCTTATGTAAGTTGAAAGTGACTTTGAACTGAAAACAGTAGAAAAACACAATCTATCCTAAATATACATGCATTCAACTCTGAAGCATCCAGATTCATGAAACAAATACCACTAGACATATGAGAAAACATTTGCTGCTATACTTCCACACGCATAGATAACCCTGACAGGTCATCAAGGCAGAAAGTTAAAAAGAAACTTCAGATATAAACTAGCCTCTAGACGAAATGGATCTAATGGGTATTTACAGTACATTATACACAACAACCACAGAGTATATATTTTTCTTATCTCTGTGTGGAACATTCTGTAAAATCAACCATATGCCTGAGCACAAAGCAAGTCTCAATAAATTCAAAAAATTGATGTTATATCAAGTATCTTCTCAGTCTACAAGAGAATAAATTTAGAAATCAATACCAAGAAGAATTGTCAAAATTATACAACTACATAGAGGCTAAAAACTTGTCTTCAATGACTTTTGGGTAAACATTAAACAAAAGCATAAGTCAAAAATATATTTTGAAAACAATGAAAATAGAGACACAACTTACCAAAACTTCTAACATACAGCAAAAGCAGTGCTAAGAGGTAAGTTTATAGTGTTAAATGTCTACATCAAAAAGACAGAAACAGGCCAGGCATGGTGGCTCATGCCTGTAATCCCAGCACTTTGGGAGGCCAGGGTGGGTGGATCACAAGGTCAGGAGTTTGAGACCAGCCTGGCCAAGATGGGTGAAACCCCATCTCTACTAAAAATACAAAAATTAGCCGGGCGTGTTGGTGGGTGCCTGTAATCCCAGCTACTTGGGAGGCTGAGGAACGAGAATCACTTGAACCCAGGAGGCAGAGTGTGCAGTGAGCCGAGATCGTGCCACTGCACTGTAGCCTGGGCAATAGAGCAAGACTCCATTTCAAAAAAAAAATAGAAACATCTCAAATTAACCACCTAATGTCACACCCCTAAGAACTAGAAAAACAAGAACAAATCAAACCCAAAGCTAGCAGAAAAAAAAATAAGAAATATTAGAGGAGAACCAAATGAGATTGAGACTAAAACAATGATGCCAGAATCAAAAATATTAAAAATATGTTATTTGAAAGGTTAAACAAAATTATAGACTGCTAGTTATATTAACCAAGAAAGACAGAGAAAATTCAAATGAGCAAAATCAGAAATGACAAAGGCAACATTGCAACTGTTAGAACAGAACACAAAAACTAACAAATATTGCTATGAACATCTCTGTGCACACAAAATAGAAAACCTGAAGAAAATGATTGAATTTTTGGAAATACACAAGTTCTCAAAATTGAACCAGAAATAAATAGAAATTCTAAACACACCAATAATAAGCAAGCACATTTAATCAGTAAAAGAGCAAGAACAAAAAAATCCCAGGACGAGATGAATTCACAGCCAAATTTTATGAGATGTACAAAGAAGATCCGAAACAAACCTTCCTGAAGCTATTTCATAGTATCCCTCATTATAGGAAACAAGTGTCACCTTGATACCAAAATCAGGCAACAACACGACTAAAAATGAAATCTAAAGGCCGATATCCCTGATGAACATGGATGCAAAAATTCTCAACAAAATACTACCAAACTGAAACAAAGAGCACATCGAAGAGATAATTTATCATGATCAAGTGGGTTTTCTTGCAGGAATAAAGGATGTTTCAACATTCACAAATTAATAAATTTGATTCACCATATAACTAAGATTTAAACAAAAACCATATGATCATCTCAAAAGAGACATAAAGCATTGCATAAAATCCAACATTTCTTTCTCATAAAACCCTTAATAAACTATGTATTGAAGACATATCTCAAAATAATAAGTCTTACATAACAAACCTGCAGCCAACGTCTTCCTGAATAGGAAAATGTTGAAAGCATTCACCCTACGAACTGGCAAAAGACAAGAATGTCCATTGTCACCACTCTTACTTAACATAGAACTGGAGGTCCTCACCAGAAAACCCAGGCAGTAGAAAAAAATAAAAGCCATCCAAGTTGGAAAAGAGAAATTCAAATTATCAATTTTTTTCTGATGACATGATTTTATACCTATCAAACTATAATGACTCCTTCAAAGGACTGCTTGATTGAAAAAAAAAAACTTCAATAAAATTTGAAGATACAAAATCAATGTAGAAAAATCAGTAGCATTTCTATACACCAATAATGTTGAAGCTAAAACCCAATTAATAATTCAGTCCCATTTGCAATAGACAAAAACAGAATAAAATATCTAGATATAAATAAAATTAAGCAGGTGAAAGATCTCTACAAGGAGAAATACAAAATACTGATGAAAAAAATCATGGATGAAACAAGCAAATAAAAAGATTACCATGCTTATGGATTGGGAGAATCAATATCATGAAAATGATCATACTGCCCAAAGCAAACTACTGATTCAATGCAGTTCCTAACAAAGTACCAACATTATTCTTCATATAATTACAAAAAAATCTAAATTTCATAAAAAGGCAATCCTAAGCAAAAGAACAAAGTCACAGGTATCACTTTACCTGACTTCAAATTATACTAACAGACTATAGTAACTAAAATAACATGGTACTGATACAACAGTAGACACGTGGATAAATAAGAATAGAGAACCTAGAAATAAAGCTACATACATACAACAAACTGATCTTTGACAAAGTTAAAGAAAAACAAACAATGAGAAAAGGACACTGTAACCATTAAATGGTATTGAGAAAATTGGCTAGCCAAAGCTGAATAATGAAACTAAACCCCTATCTCTTACCATTGGCAAAGTTAAGTCAACGTGGATTAAGGACCTACAAGGAAAATCTGAAACTATGAATGTCCTAGGAGAAAACCTTGGAAAAACTCTTCTGGACATTGAGCTAGGCCAAGATATAATGATGAAGATGCCAAAAAGGAAATGTAACAAAGACAGATAAATGGGAATTAAACTAAAAAACTTATGGGCAGCAAGAGAAATAATCAACAGAATATCTACAGAATGGGAAAAATATTTTCAAATTTAGGCTCCAACAAAGGACTTTTATTTAGATTCTATAAGGAACTCAAACCAACTCAACAAGTAAAACACAAACAATCCCATTAAAAACTAGGCAGAAGACATGAACAGACATTCATCAAATGAAGACATACAAGCAGCTGACAAATATACAGGAAACTGTTTTTAATAGTCATCAGAAAAATGCAAATTAAAAGCACATTGAGATGTCATCTTGCACCAGTCAGAATGACTATTATTAAAATGTCAAAAAACAACAAATATCAGTGTGGATGTGGAAAGAAGGCAAAATGTGCATATACATACTAATATGCATATATATATATACTAAGTGTACATACGTATACTAAGCATATATGCTTATGGAATACTAAGCATCCACTAAAAAGAGTGAAATTAAGTCCTTTTCAGCAGCATGGATGGAACTAAAGGATATTATTCTAAGTAAACTATCGTACAAGCACAACAAAATACCACATATTCTCATTTATAAGGGGAAGCTAAACAATGTGTACACACGGACATAAACATGGAAATAATAGACATCAAGTACTTCAAAAGGGAGAAAGGTGGAGACAGGGGCAAAGATGACAAAACTTCCTATTGGGTACAATGTTCACTATTTAAGTGATGTGTACACCAGAGGCCCAAACCTCACCAGTATGTAATGTGTCTATATAACAAACCTACACATGTGCCTATTTAATCTAAAATAATTTTTAAGACTTTAATAAGAAATAAAAATCCGAAAGTCTTTCCTTACTAATATCAATGCCTGTAATTCTTCACAGTTTGTCAGTTTATTTTCTTCCTCATAATGAACGCTGTTTTCCTGTTTCTTTGTAGCTTTGTTATTGTTTTTATCGCACATTTGAAAAACAGCCACATTTCATAATCTATATATATTCTGTGTCATGACAATGATCAGCTAATATGCTTGGCATATTCTTAGTCTCGACATCAGCCCTACATGAAAACTTAAGGTCTTCTCAGTTCTTTTCTGAACGTGCATCTGCCTAGACTCTGTGTGCCCTATTTGATTTCTCCAAATACCCAATGGTTTTGAATACCTTATCATGTCAAAAATTCACAGCTCAGCTTCTCCTAAGTGCCATAGATGGCCTATTGTATGTCTCTTCCCCCTAATCTCTTGCCAGTGGCATCTGTGCATCTATAGTCACCCTGCATCTCTACTGAGCCACTCTATAAATAAATGAGTTTATTTTAGTTCATTTCAGATTGTTTTTTGATAATTCCATGGGAGATTTGAGAGCTTTCTAATCTACCATCCTGCTGATGACACTCTGTGTGAAAATTTTTAAATGGCTCTATTATATTCCATTGCTTCAATGTATAGTAATTTACCTAATTATTTTCTTTTATTGTTCCTTTTAGGAAGAAGTGAATAGAAGAAAAGAGGGTGTTGCAAATCAAAAGCACATAGAGATATCATCTTACACCAGTCAGAATGGCTATTCTTAAAATGTCAGACAACAACAGATATTGGTATGGATTCTTCACAGATGTTAATCATCTTCGTTTTTTGTTTTTTGTTTTTTTTTTTTTTTTTGAGACAGTCTTGCTCTGTCGCCCAGGCTGGAGTGCAGTGACCCAATCTTGGCTCACTGCAACCTCTGCCTCCTGAGTTTAAGCAATTGTCTTGCCTCAGCCTCCTGAGTAACTGGGATTACAGGTATCCACTACCACTCCAGACTAATTTTTGTATTTTTCGTAGAGACAAGATTTCACTTGATTGGTCTCAAACTCCTGACCTCAAGTAAACCTACCGCCTTGGCCTTCCAAAGTGCTGGGGTTACAGGCGTGAGCCACTGCCCCCGGCCTAATCATCGTGTTCTAGTCTGCCCTCCAATGGGAGAAACAAGTAAAATTATGCCATGTGAGGATTATTCACCAATTTATTTTAATTACTTTTTTCTTTATAACATTTAATAAGATCACAAATTATATAAAATAGTTATCAGCTTTTTGGGAAGTTACTTTTGCTGGTTTCTTATAAAACTGATGGAAGATACAAACACTATTAAAGAACTGTTTGCATGTTGCAAATGATGTCCAAAGTCCAAACATTGTTAATAATTAATACTCCAATAAACATCATGTCAGAATTTCTGTTTTCTTTTCCCTTTGAACCTTTGCAGGATTGCCACATCATCAGGACCACACCTTCATCAGGAATGAATATTCCTACTACAATTAAAGAAGAAACAAAATTAATTTGTTGGTGAAAAACGTAAAAAGAGAAATTTTCTTTGGTTTTGTTTAATTTCTTTATTGAGGGTCACCACTAAAAAAAAATGCTCACTGGTCATTCTTTTGAATACTGTCTGAGAGAAAGATGTAAGATGGTTGATTATTTCAAATGACAGAAGATAAAGATGGGATATCATCATGGCATGAACAAAAACAAGATTTGTAGCTGGAGGTATTTTATAGTCTAACATGATCACCAATCATTCTATAAACCTGTTGGATGAGTTTATCAGACAGACAGAGAGAGAGATTGATTGATTCTGAATAGAAAATTTCACTTTAGAAAAAAATATTTTGACTATATAATAATGTATGTAAAAATTCTCTTTGATAAGAAACGAGTGAACTGGATTCAATTTTCCTCACAGCCTGTGTAATACACCATCACTTGCTTCCTCCTACATGCCATTGATTAGCCCCAGGGAGCAGTGCAGCACTGCCTGCCCATGTTTTACATAACCCCTGAATATAAATGCCAGATGTTGCTGAAGGAAACAGGATCTGCTTAGTGAAAGAAGTGGCAAGCAATGGATCCCAAATATCAGCGTGTAGAGCTAAATGATGGTCACTTCATGCCCGTATTGGGATTTGGCACCTATGCACCTCCAGAGGTAATAATCACATTTTCAGCATTGAGCATTTAAAAGAGCAAAGCTAGAATAAGTGAACGATGACCTGGGTTGTTCAGCTTTGTGTTTCTGTTACCCTGAGTGACTCACGTGGTCTGTCTTACTGGGCTAGAGCTATTCTATGTTCAAAGAGAAAAGGTAGTCAATGTTTGTTTTGCACTGAGGTCTGTCATATGGTAATTTACTGCTTATTTTTATTTTATACACTGTTTTTATATGCTGTTTCTGTGTATTGCCCAGCTTGGCAGAATATATAAAACTCAACAGTGAAGAACACTGCCTGGCAGTTCCCTTTCTAGGAGATGACTGCAGTGAGAATGGTTTCTCCATTTATTTCTGTGGTTGAAGAAATCTTTTATTCTTCTACTAGACGTGATCAAAAGAAACATTTGTGGTAACAGCACCTAAAGATGGGGTGTATGAAAACTGTTGGGAGAGTACTGCTGAGCTGCCGCGTGGTCTTGAGCATGACACAGTAATACTGGTCCTGGACTTAATACAATGCCCTGCACAACTCTCACCTCTAGGAAAATTATCTGAAAGGAAAAATAACTTTATTCTAAGGAAAACCTAGAACCTCACAAGAAAAATTTTAAATTTTTGGTCCGTGTTAATATGCATCAGATTTGTATCAAAATGATAGGGGTGGCCCTCTGACACGGAAGTGGGCAAAATGGAGACATTTTTTCTAGACTGAGCTATTTCTACACTGGAAGAAAACTTGTATTCCAAGACTACTAAGTGTGTTAATAAGGAGTAGTCACATAAAATTTTTGTCTAAATTTGATCAACTATACGTTGTAAGAATTTACAGAGAAACACCTTGAAGACCATCGACAGGAGTGGTTCACTTTGTAATGCAAATTGGCATGAAGGAGAAGTAAGGAAAAGCACAACACGGAAGCTCTAGCCTTGGTAAACCTTGAGTGCCTGCACAGCAAACAGAGGATCAGGGTTGGCATCAGGGGAAGGTAGTGCAACCTGGCATCTAGTTCCTTTTAATTTCACTAGAAAAAGAAAGCTTCAGAAAAGCTTATATTAAAATAGAAAATTGTTTCATTTACGGTTTTGTCATTTAAAAAATATACCTTTCAAATCTTTATCCAAATTTGGTAGATAAGTCAATAATTTTAAATTTCACTGAAATTATATCGTTTCTAAAAGAGTTGGTCTTATTTTTTAGGGATAAAGCGTACCTTACTAATCTCTCACAGGTCGCAGTTAATTTCTTAGGTATAAATCTACATCCTTGGAATGTATGTCTTTACTCCTAGTATTTAGTTCTGTCATGCACACAGAATGGCTAATGGCTGTGTAGAAAGGAGTTAACACAATAGACTGCCACCCGTAGATGCGCCTGTTTTCAAAGTTGGAGCCTGGCTGGTATCTGAGAAGTTGAATTTCTCACCCCTTCCTAACTGATAAGGGTAGCATCTATAATTAACTGGTTGTACAAAGTGTGGGGTTTCTGTATACCTGCTTTCTTTACAAGACCGGAAGTTTGGTGTGTGCTATACAGACTGGGTCAATTTAACCAGCACCCAGTTAAAATCTTGGGAATTGAGTCTCCAAATAGCATCCCTTGTAGTCAACATTTCCCCTATGTTGCCAAAATGTGATGCTGGAGGAAGTCAGTGTGTTTCCTGAAACATCACTGAGAGACGAATCATAGGAACTTACACCGTATTCTTACCATAATTTCTTCCATGTGCCTTTTTCCATGTGTTAATTTCACTATATTAAAAATAATTAGGAGTGTGTATGCAGTGACTCATGCCTGTAATCCCAGAACTTTGGTAGGCCAAGGCAGGTGGATCCCTTGAGCTCCGGAGTTTGAGCCTGGGTAACATAGGAAATCCCATCTCTACCAAAAATACAAAAACTTAACCAGGCATTATCATGCCTGTCTGTGGTCCTAGCTATTTGGGAGGCCAAGGTGGGAGGATCACTTGAGCCCAAGGTAAAGAAGGTGGGGGTGGGGGCAGATTTTGTAGTGAGCCAAGATTGTCCCACTTCACACCAGCCTGGGTGACAGAGTGAGACTCTGTCTCAAATAATAATAACTATTTATAAGTTGAGTCTTGTTAATTTTTCTAACAAATGACTGAATCTGAGGTTGTTGTTGGGAAACTCCATGCTAGTGATTAACCAGTAACTGCCTGGGACTGAAGAGGTCCAGGGATACCCAATCTTTATTACTAACCAGGAAAGACTTCAGCAAATTGGGATGGGTTTATCACCCCACATATAGAACCAACCCAAGACACGAGGATAATGTGATTTTTGTGAAGGTCAGTGCTGGTGCCTGAACTACTGATAGGGATGTGCTGGGAAGGGAAGAGCGTGGTCCCTTTAAATGATACAGAAAGCGGGAAGGGAAGTGCTGGCTAGAGGAGGACGTGGTCCCTGGCTACGGCTCCACCGCCTCGGACCTAGGTGAGGACAGGCATTTTTGTTTTCCTGCCCAAAAGTTGCATTTCCCAAGACCACCCTGGCCTGCCATGCCCCCATCCTGTGCCTATAAAAACCCCAAATCCTAACAAGGCAGAGACAGAACCGGGTGGACTTTGAGAGGATCACATCGGCAGAGGAATACACAGGTGGCTAGACATCTAGAGAAATGCACCGAAAGGCACCAGTACGCCAGCGGGCCACCTACTGGCAGAAGCAGAATGACGCTGAGTTTGGCTGGGGCAGTCAGAAGACAGTCCAGGCTGCTGAGCAGCCGGACTCTAGGGGAAAACGTTCCTACTCCATCCCCTTCTGACTTCCCCCCAAGCTACCTCCACTCAATGAAACCCTGCACTCATTCACCAAGCCCAGGTGTGATCCGATCCTTCCGGTAAACCAAAGCAAGAACTCAGGATACAGAAAGCCCTCTGTCCTTGCCATAAGGTAGAGGGTCTAATTGAGCTGGTTAACACAAGCCTGTAGATGGCAAAACTTAAAGAACAAAACTAAAAGAGCACCCTGTAACACATGCCCACTGGGGCTTCAGGAGCTGTAAACATCCACACCTAGACACTGTCAACGGGTCATAGTCCCACAACCTGCCCCCATCTGTATGCTCCCCTAGAGGTCTGAGCAGCGGGGGCCTGAAGAAGCGAGCCACACCCCCACTGCACACCCTGTGAGGACAAGGGAACTTTTCCTGTTTCACTACCTCTCAAGCACATTGATCACCAAATACTACCTTTCGTTGCTCCTTCAGGTTCCGAGGAACAGAGCTGTAGAGGTCACCAAATTAGCAATAGAAGCTGGCTTCCGCCATATTGATTCTGCTTATTTATACAATAATGAGGAGCAGGTTGGACTGGCCATCCGAAGCAAGATTGCAGATGGCAGTGTGAAGAGAGAAGACATATTCTACACTTCAAAGGTACTGTGCCTATGATGAGCATGTATGCACATGTGTTTAATGGGATTGTGTGGAGATGACAATTCTGTAACTGGTTCAGTAGTTGTGGGTGAATTGTGCTTATTAGTTCCAATTTATTCACACATATTCAGGTATTAAAGCTAAAATAAAAGGCAGAGAATGATGATGCCTTTCTCATCATTGTTGTGTTCAAATTTACTACTTGAAAGTTACTTTAGGTTTTGAGCCTCAGCTCAGATCAGTATAATTATTTTATGAATTCATATTTTAATTTCAACAGGTTTTGGGGTACAAGTGGATTTTGGTTACATGAATCAATTCTACACTGGTGATTCTGAGATTTAAGTGAAGCTGTCAGGCGATCACTGGACATCGTACTCACTATGTAGGCTTTTATCCCTCACCTCACTCCCAACCTAACCCACACTGAGTCTTGAAAGTTCATTATATAATCTGTATATCTATACATCCTCGTAGCTTAGTTCCCACTTATAAGTGAGAATGTACAGTGTTTGGTTTTCCATTCCTGAATTACTTTACTTAGAATAATGGCCTCAAGCTCCAAGTTCCTGCAAAATATATTATTTCATTCCTTTTTATATATACACTATTCCATGATGTATATATATATATACCACATTTTCATTATTCATGCATTGGTTGATGGGCACTTGGATTGGTTTCATATTTCTACAATTGTGAATCATACTGCTGTAAACATGTGTGGGTATGTGTTTTTTATATATAATGACTTCTTTTCTTTTTGGTAGATACCAGTATTAGGATTGCTGAATCAAATGGTAGATCTACTTTAAGTTCTTTAAGGAATCTCCATACTGTTTTCCATAAAGATTACACTCATTTACATTCCTACCAGCCGTGTAAAAGTGTTCTCTTTTTACTACATTCATGCCAACTTCTACTGTCTTTTCAGCTTTTTAATTATAACCATTCTTGCAGAAGGTGATATCTCATTGTGATTTTAATTTGTACTTCCCTGATTATTAGTTATGTTGAGCATTTTTTCATATGTTCGTTGGCTGTTTGTATACTTCTTTTGAGAAATGTCTATTCATGTTATTTGCCCACTTTTCAACAGGGTTATTTGTTTTTATCTTGGTGACTTGAGTTCCTTGTAGATTCTGGATAATCAGTCCTTTGCTGGATGCATAGTTTGCAAAAACTTTCTTCCATTCTGTAGGTTGTCTGTTTACTCGCATGATTATTTCTTTTGCTGTGCAGAATCTTTTTAGTTTAATTAGGTCCCATTTATTTTTGCTTTTTGTGCATTTGCATTTTGGGGTCTTAGAGACAAATTCTTGGCTGAGGCCAATGTACAGGCCAATGTTAAGAAGAGTTTTCCAATGTTATCTTCTAAAATTTTTATGGTTTCAGGTCTTAGACTTAAGTCTTTGATCCATCTTGTGTTGGTTTTTGTATAAGGTGAGAGATGGCTTCCAGTTTTATTCTTATACATGTGGCTTAACAGTTGTCCCAGCACCATTTATTGAATAGGGTTATTTTCCCTAATTTATATTATTGTTTGCTTTGTTGAACAAAGATTAGTATTTGCCCTAATTTCTGTGTTCTCTATTCTGTTTCATTGATCTAAGTGCCTATTTTTTATACCAGTACCATGCTGTTTGTATAACTATAGTCATGTAGTATAATTTGAAGTCTGGTAATGAAATACCTCCAGATTTCTTCTTTTTGCTTAGTATTGCCTTGGCTATTGAGGCCCTTTTGTGGTTCCATATGAATTTGGAATATGGCCATTTTTATACTATTGATTCTTTCTATCCATAAGCATGGGATGTGTTTCCATTTGTTTATGTATCATTTCTTTTTAGTAGTGTTTTGTATTTTTTTGTAGAGATCTTTCATCTCTTTGGTTAAGCATATTCTTAGGGATTTTATTTGCAGCTGTTGTAAATGGAATTCTTAATTTGACTCTCAACATGGTTGTTGTTGGTGAATAGCAGTGCTACTAATTTCTGTAAACGGATTTTGTAACCTGAGACTTTACTGAATTTGTTTGTCGGAGGAGCTTTTTGGATGAGGCTTTGGGGTTTTGTAGGTATATGATCATATTACTGGCAAACAGCAATACTTTGGCTTATCCTTTTCCAATTTGGATTCCCTTTATTTTTTTTACCTTGCCTGATTACTCTGGCTAGGACTTCCAGTACTATGTTTAATAGAAGTGGTAAAAATTGGGCATCCTTGTCTTATTCCAGTTTTCAGGGGAATGCTTTCAATTTTTCTCCATTCAGTATGATGTTGGCTATGGATTTGTTATATATGCATTTTATGCCTAGTTTGTTGAGGGTTTTTATCATAAATGGATGTTGGATTTTATTAATTGCTTTTTTGCATCTATTGAAATGATCCTATGGTTTTGGTTTTTAATTCTCTTTGTGTGGTATATCATATTTATTGGCTTGTATATATTATAGCATCCCTGCACCTATGGGATGAAACCCACTTGATCATGATATATTTTTGATGTGCTGATGGATTTGGTTAGCTAGTATTTTCTTGAGGATTTTTACATCTGTATTCATCAGGGAGATTGGTCTATAGTTTTCTTTTGTGTGTGTGTGTGTGTGTGTGTGTGTGTGTGTGTGTGTGTGTTATGTCCTTTCCTGGTATTGGTATTTGGTGATACTGGCTTCATAGAATAATTTAGGCAGGATTCCCTCTTTCTCTGTATTTTTGAATAGTTTCAGTAGGATTGGTACCAGTTCTTCTTTGAACATCTCCTGTGGAGATAGCAACTTTGGCTTTCAAGCTATTCCCCTCCCCATCCACCTTCAAGGCCAGGTGCCAGCCTTCTGCATTTGTCTGCAGCACACTTCCTGCTTTCCCCCGGGGTTCTGGCCAAGGGGGCTCATTCCCACTTGAGATAATATTAATATCATGAAATTCAGTTAGGAGCTTCTTTCGATCTGTGACATGTGGCTGAACTCCCCAAGTTCAAGTTGGCTGACTTTGCTGATGTCCCCTGTGAGATAAAATAAGAAATGGCTTCCCTCAGTCCATGCTGGAGACTGGTAATACCTTTGTGACACTTGTCACTGCCGCTTCTACTTTATTTCTCACCTCTCCCTAAATCAGCTTTGGGCCTGGGTAGGGTTAAGGCCTTACCCATGGCCTGAATTCTCAGATTCCCTGGTGGGGAAGAGTATTCTGGAGGCAGTTTCTCCCCTTCTCACACTCTGGGCACTTACAGTTTTTCATCTGTCTCACAGTGTTGGCTGTAGCCTGCCACTTCTTTCAAAGGGTCTGTGAATTTTCACTTTTCCTATTAAGTTCCTGCATTGCTTCTTGGAAAAAAGTTTGCAGTGTGAATCTCTATATGCTATTCTGTCTTTCCAAGTGGGAGAGGCATGCTAACACTGCCTCCAATCCACAATCTTGGGAACAAAAAACTCAGACCAGGATGGTTTAACATAGACTACAGATTCAGAGAGACCTATAATCAATATTTTAGTTTTTCTTATGTCTGGGATGACTTTCTTCAATATCTTATTCTGAATCTCAATTGTCCTTTTCAGTGAAGAGTGTGGGAGGCAGGGAGATGCAACATAAGGATGTTATGAGTATGAAACAACAGATAACAGAAGTATCTTGAATGATTGCTCAACACATGTCAGCACGTAAAAACTTTTTGCTCTTCAGTTTCTAAACAGGAATGCTTATTCTTGCCCATCGGGTTCAATGGATGAGAAAAATTAGACTATTCAAATGCTTTATAATTTCTCTCAAACACAGTTCAGATCATCAGAATTACTTGATATCAATTTTTACCTACTGAAAATTTTAATTCCATTGTTCAGCAGTTGTACTAACTATATATGCAATATGTAGCTTTCATATAGGTAGGTCATATCAAAATAAAACAAAGGGAATTTTTGCCAGAGGTCATCTGTTTGGAACGGTGAAAAATGTCTAAATATTAGGTGAAGCAAACTAATAAAACTAGCTCATGTTTTTATTCAACATAAATCCTTTATTTTACCATGCAGCTTTGGTGCACTTTCTTTCAACCACAGATGGTCCAACCAGCCTTGGAAAGCTCACTGAAAAAACTTCAACTGGACTATGTTGACCTCTATCTTCTTCATTTCCCAATGGCTCTCAAGGTAGGGAATTTGTGAGATCAACTTCTCTTCTGTTCTCAGCATGACCATCCTTTATGATGGTTGAATTGAACTTCTTCTAAGGAGGGTGTAGGTGTTATTACATGGCAGAAGAGTCCTAAGTATAATGCCTAAGCCATTTTCTTGAAGAGTACAACCTTCCTTCTGTAACGTATGATGACAAGAGAAGACAGTACATCAACCTCAAAGCCTCTGATTCAAAAATTCAAGAAAATAACAACAGCCACCTTCAAGGCTCTGTCTTAATTAGGGTTCCTGAGTCCATCTCTTAGGATCTTCACAGATACAGAGATCCATGCAGCTGTGGTACCCCAAAAAAACTGCTGCACATGTGGTGTACAGTGAGTTTCCATTATCTTTCCCCATTTTAAGCTGAAGTAGATTTGGTGGAACTCACTCTGGGTGAGTTTTAAAAAGGAAACCATAATAGGACCTGAGAATCCTTGCCTTTTTCACTAAGGCTTATTTCACAATGGAGTTTGTAGCTTTGCCTAGTCATGAATTTCGGTTGTGCATAACTTTTAAATTTATAGAAAAAAAACTCAGGCTAGTTTATTTAAAAAAGAGTTTATTGCATGATGCAAATGGGTAGTCACTGCCATGAATACATTTCAAGATTTGACGTAGACTCTAAAAATGTGACCTTTCTCCATAATTATCTATGAACTCCAAGAAGTTTTCTGGATTTTTGTCCCAGCCTTTTTGATTGTTGGCAATGATAGCTTTGAGGCAGCTCAATGCTCATGGTGATTAACATAAAAGAACCTCCGTGGGTCTTACAACTTTCAAATTAATACTGAAAAGAACTTCCATTTGAACATGTTTAGTTTATGATCCTGCTCATGGACTATCAAGTCTTCAGGGGGATAAGGAACTCTTATTGTATCACCTGGATCAAGAATACAATCCCTTATTGCTGGATATCAAGGGCTGTTTGAGTCAAAGAGAGGCATTTCCCCCAAAAAAATTATAGGATCAGACAAAAGTAACAGAAGTCGACTGTGAACCCCCATTAAAACCTGTAAAATGGTTATTAATATATATAATGGAAGTAGGAGATTAAAGGAAGCCTGTCTCCTAAAGACATTCCTTAAAACTCTGTACGTGAAACACTTGGCCCACATCACTTTCTAGAACATTTCAGCACCTACCTCACGGTGGATTATTATCCTAAAATGTACATGGGAGCATGCCTATGGGTGGAAAAGTTAAATGGTGACACTAAAGTGACTGCTTCTACTTCAGCCAGGTGAGACGCCACTACCAAAAGATGAAAATGGAAAAGTAATATTCGACACAGTGGATCTCTCTGCCACATGGGAGGTGAGTGCTTGGAGGACAGAGTACAGAAAAGGAAGACAAGAAGAGGTAAACCTGTTCCCCAGCTTTCATATGCAACATTGGAATATGCACCATTGGAACTAGAAATTAAGGAGCTTGACAAAGGAAGTTTTGCTGAGTGGTAGGGAAGAATACATGACTGAAATAGAATAGCAGGAAATGAAGGAGATAAACTGGGGACAAGGAAGACAGATATTCCTCCCGCTCCATGGACATTTATCTCTCCAGCTTCCTAAAGAGGATACACAAATTCTTCTTGCTGTCACTATCCTTTTGTTATCTGTTGTAATTTTTTCTCTTGAGAATCACTGCTATTTTCATTGTCATATCTTAACAGTTGTTGCTTTAACAGTTCTGTCTTGCATTTATCATAATCTGCAGCCAACTGCACAAATAATTCCTCACAACCCCTTTCTCCCCAGGTCATGGAGAAGTGTAAGGATGCAGGATTGGCCAAGTCCATCGGGGTGTCAAACTTCAACTGCAGGCAGCTGGAGATGATCCTCAACAAGCCAGGACTCAAGTACAAGCCTGTCTGCAACCAGGTGAGCACCCTCAGCCTCCTCTCCTTTCTCTTCTCAATGTCCATCTTCCTGTCCTACTGCCTGGCTTCCATTTGTTTTGTTCCACTTACATTTGTGAAACAGAAGATTCTAGAAAGCAAAACATCTGTCTAGAAGAAAACGGAAGACCCTTAATTGCACCTCTTCTTGGAGAAGTCTTAATGAAAATGGTACAGAGACCTTCATGCTAAATTGTGTGTACTATTTTTGGGGGAGGTGAATTTCATCAAGGAGGACTGAAATGGTTAATCAGAACTCAGGGAGAAGGTGGACTTATCTCTAAGGTATGAAAGACCACCAGAGAGTGGATTGGTAAAGATGATTTGGAGTAGAATGTATATAATTATAGAGGCCATAAAAACATGGGATGAGCAATAAATCAGGAGACAGTGAGAATAAGAGAAGATCGGTACTACGGGTTTAAATAGGGTTTAGATGTCTGAATGCTTTTTCTTGTCATCTCTGTTTTCATAGTTCTTGAGCAGGTACTAAAAATTAACTGGAAACAATGAAAGTCATCCAGGTTAGGGAGAGGAAGTTACCCGTTTATGAGAGTTGCTTGAGAGATAAGCTGAAAGGATGTGGCGTGCTACCCCCACCCCTGCCTCGTGTAGAAAAGCCTGCCAATGTTGCCTCATTTAGACCCAGACTCCAAAACGGGAGTCTTATAGCTGGGCCACCTAGGAAGAGAGGTTCTAAAGCATAAAAAAGAAAGCATTTCATTTTGGGACATTTATTTGCAGCTGGAAATGGGGGAATGGGCTAACTGGCTAAACTACTATCTTGTCCATCCTGCCTTCACTTCAGTCCTTCCACATTGTTATTTGGTGTTTGAACTGTGCTAGAAGAACTGTTTTATACAGGCTGCTATTCAATAAATTTGTAAATACCATACCCACACCAAAGGATTTAACACTGAAAAGATTAAGGTAATTTTGGAAAATTCTAAAAGTCACTTTTCACTCCTGAGATGTAGGTGGTCAGAAGAAATGAGGAACACTGTAGAAGCCATATGCAAGATGCACAGATGGCATTGTGTTTGTTGTGGACTGTTGATGTTAACAGGATGGAAGAAGTCAAAACTGAACTTTATAAAATAGGGTATAAGAAAATAAAGATGTCCCTGTACTTACAGGTGCTAAGAAACTAGACTTGAAGAACTTGTCTCTCTCAGAAATTGAGAAATTGTTAGCAATGGTTGAACTAAGCTCATCAACTCCTTGGCATTTGCAGCCTACCTGTGCAATCATAGGACATGAAATAAAGGAAGGACTTGAGAAACTCCATGATGTGATAATGAAGAGAAAAATATTGCAGTAATATAAAAAGATGAATATGATACCTTTTCTATATATGTAGAATAGATTTTCTCTGGTCTGATTTTGACAAATGCAAGACTGTCTACAGCCTAGTTTTCCTGTATGCCCTCCTGGGTGCTATCAAAGCTTCATTTCATTGAACAATCAGATGCCCAACTCTGTGGCTTTGTGGAAGATGAGTAAATGCAGTAATGCTTGAAATGGTCTCTTCTCCCTAGCCCACAAATATTTTGGTACTATCATTTTGGGAAGTCAAGCAAGTATAGTAAATTAACCAGAACACAATTGTGGAAATTTGATGCAAAGTTAGTGAAATAAAACTTTAAAGAGTGAAAAAAAGGAAAGTTAACTATTTATGGAGATAACTAGTTATGGTGGATGAAATCAACACTGAGGAAAATTTAGCAGAACATTGAGCTGACCTTTTGACTGTCCACATCTTATTCTGATGCACTGCTTTGCTTTCTGTCATCAAATCAACTGTTTAGAAGCATTTATTCTGCGTATGGTTCTGTTCTCTTACTCTTTTACTACTTAGAGTCAATGAGTACAGGTCTACAGTTGAAACATGTATTTAAAATTTATGTATTTGGTAATATAATACAAAATCATGATTTTCAATTAAAAAGGAATTAATGTGGTTTTAATATTAGTTTTACTCAATTATTATTATGACAACTTTCAAATTTTAGAGAAATTTGAAGGGATAATACAGGACATCTACATGTTATCATCTATTTCCAAAATTGTTGACACTTTGCCAACCTGGCAAGTATATAGGCATATATGAGTATATCTGCATCAATACAGGTAGTATTTGTTGAATCTCTTCAAAATATATTCCAATGATCACAATTCACCTCTACAGACCTTTCAAAGCATGGCATAGGAATGAAGATATTCTCCCAGTAACAGTGCAATTATTATATCTAAGGAAATAACAATAATGCCCTCATATCATTGATTATCCAGTCAGTATTCATATTTCCCATTGTTTTATTGAAAGATCTCTTATACCTCTATTTTAACCATAAATAGAAGATGAAAAAATTTAAAGATACCATAAGATATTAAGTACCTGAAATTATACCTAATAAAAGATGTGTATGACCTCTAAGGAGAGAATTATAAAACAATGAAGAATAAATAAAAGATGTATCATGAAAACAAAAACAAAAAAAAAACATCCAATTGTGACTTTCAGTTTGTTGTACTTTGGTCCGTTAACTTGTTGTTCCAAGTTTTTAAAATTTAAGTTTGTGTAGATTAGAAGTTATACTTGAATGCTTTATATCATAGAAGTTAAACATTTTTGGTGAGAAACTGCCTCTACATTGCTGTATCCCTGAAATTATACCACAGTAGGCAGCATGAAATGACAGATTGTCCCACAATTAGTGATGCTAATTTTGATCACTTGGTTAAACAAGTGGTAACCAGATCTAATTTCCAGAGACATGTGTTCTCCCCTTTGTAATTACTGGTAATCTGCTGGGTGAAATAAGAGGGAAAGTTATATTACACAGCAAATTTTCACATGATGATTGAGTATACATCAATGATGTTTTAAATTTTTGTATTGTATTATTGTATTTGTTCTTTCCTTGGGGCTTTAAAGTAATTACTTTCAATTTTAACTACAAGTTTTACTATTCTTTACGTTTTATTATAAAAAAATTTTTTTCACAAAGTCAAGAAAAGAAACAATTACTGCTCTCAGATATGCCAAAAGCTTAACTCCTTCCCTTTAATTATTCATTTCCTAGAAAAAAAATTACTGTAATAATCACTATATTAGTCCATTTTCATGCTACTGATAAAGACACATCCAAGACTGGGACTTATAGTTCCAATATGGCTGAGGAGGTCTCACAATCATGGCAGAAGGCAAGGAGGAACAAGTCACATCTTACATAGATGATGGCAGGCAAAGAAAGAGCTTGTGCAGGAAATCTCCTCCTTATAAAACCATCAGATCTCATGAGACTTATTCACTATCTCAAGGACATCATGGGAAATATCTGCCCCCATGATTTAATTATCTCCCACCAGGTCCCTCCCACAACACATGGGAATTATGGGAGCTAAAAGATGACATTTGGGTGGGGACACATAGCCAAACCATATCATGCCACCCCTGGCCCCTCCCAAATCTCATGTCCTCACAATTCAAAACCAATCATGCATTCCCAATAGTCTTCCAAAGTCTTAACTCATTTCAGCATTAGATCAAAAGTCCACAGTCCAAAGTCTCATCTGAGACAAGGCAAGTCCCTTCCACCTATAAGCCTGTAAACTCAAAAGCAAGTTAGTTACTTCCAGGATACAATGGCGGTACAGGCATTGGGCAAATACAGCTGTTTCATGTGGGAGAAATGGGCCAAAACAAAGGGGCTACATGACCCATGCAAGTCTGAAATCCAGCAGGGCAAATTTTAAAGCTTCAAAATGATCTCCTTTGACTCCATGTTTCACATCCAGGAGTCAATGGAACTCCATTTACATCCATGCTGATGTAAGAGGTGGTTCCTATGTTCTTGGGCAGCTCCACCACTGTGGCTTTGCAGGGTACAGCCTCCCTTCTGGCTGCTTTCATGGGCTGGCATTGAGTGTCTGCAGCTTTTCCAGGTGCACAGTGCAAGCTGTCAGTGGATCTACCATTCTAGGGTCTGGAGGATGGTGGCCCTTTTCTCAGAGCTCCACTAGGTGGTGCCCCAGCAGGGACTGTGTGGGGGCTCTGACCCCAGAGCACTGCCCTAGCAGAAGTTCACCATGAGAGTGCATGCCTAGTGGTAAACTTCTGCCTGGACATTCAGGCGTTTCTATACATCCTCTAAAATCTGAAATCTAGGTGGAGGTTCCCAAACCTCAATTTTTTTTTTTTTTTTTGAGATGGAGTCTCACTCTGTCACCCAGGCCCAGGCTGGAGTGCAATGGCGCTATCTCAGCTCACTGCAACCTCCGCCTCCCAGGTTCAAGTGATTATCCTGCCTCAGCCTCCAGAGTAGCTGGGATTACAGGCACGTGCCACCACACCTGGCTAATTTTTGCATCTTTAGTAGAGACAGGGTTTCACCATGTTGGTCAGGCTGGTCTCAAACTCCTGACTTTGTGATCTGCCTGCCTCAGCCTCCCAAAGTGCTGGGATTACAGGCGTGAGCCACCACGACCAGCCCCATACCTCAATTCTTAACTTCTGTGCACACATAGGCTCACTACCACATAGAAGCTGCCAAGGCTTGGGACTTGCACCCTGTGCAGCCATGGCCTGAGCTGTACCTTGGCCCCTTTTAGTCACGGCAGGAGTGATTGAGATGCAGGGCACCAAGTCCCTAGACTGCACACAGAATGGAGACCCTGGGCCCAGCCCATGAAACCATTTTTTCCTCCTAGACCTCCACCTCCCTCTGGGCCTGTGATGAGAAGGGCTGACACAAAGGTCTCTGACATGCCTTGGAGACATTTTCCCCATTGTCTTGGTGATTAACATTTGGCTCCTTGTTACTTATGCAAATTTCTGCAGCTGGCTTGAATTTCTTCTCAGAAAATGGGTTTTTAATTTTTACTGCATCATCAGACTGCAAGTTTTCTGAACGTTTATGCTGTTTGCCTTTTAAAACTGGATGCTTTTAACAGCACCCAAGTCACTGCTTGAATGCTTTGCTTAGAAATTTCTTTGACCAGATATCCTAAATCATCTCAGGTCCAAAGTTCCACACATCTCTAGGGCAGGGACAAAATGTCAATTTCTGCTAAAACATAACAAGAGTCACCTTTGCTCCAGTTCCCAACAAGTTCCTCATCTCCATCTGAGACCACCTCAGCCTGGTTACTATCAGTATTTTTGTCAAAGACATTCAACAAGTCTCTAGGAAGTTCCGGACCTTCTTATACTTTTCTGTCTTCTCCTGAGCCCTCCAAACTGTCAGAACCTCTACATATTACCTAGTTCCAATGTCACTTCATTTTCAGGTATCTATCTTTCAACAATGCCCCACTCTACCATATTAGTCCATTTTCATGCTGCTGATAAAGACATACTCAAGAGTGGGGAAAAAGGGGAGTTTAATGGACTTACAGCTTCACATGGCTGGGGACACCTCACAATCATGGCAGAAGGCAAAGAGGAGCAAGTCATGTCTTACATGGACAGCAGCAGGCAAAGAGACAGCTTGTGCAGGGAAACCCATTTTTAAAATCATTAGATCTTGAGAGACTTATTCACTATCATGAGAACAACACAGGAAAGACCCATTCCCATGATTCAATTATCTCCCCTGGGCCCCTCCTACAGCATGTGGGAATTATGAGAGCTACAAAATGAGATTTGGGTGGGGACACACAGCCAAAACATATGAATCACCATTGGTGAAGGCAAATACTTTTGATCACTCTGTCTTTTAACCACTCAACACTATGAAGACATGGATTGTTTTGCTATAATTTGTAATTCATTTTATTCATTGTTGGTTTTTGATGCTCAAATCTATGCAAATGTTACTGGGATTCCTATAAAACTACTTTTCTCTTTTAAACCTGCCCTTATGAGTCTTTAAAGAAATTCTTACATTCTGGCACAATTTGATGTTCAAAGCTCAGAATCTTAACCTATCCCAAGTCTAGAATTGGCCATGTGCACTTCTAGTGGTCAAAGGTTGTTAGAAACTGGCTCTGGTTCATAGAGTTGCTAATGCTCAGAAATAACATTTCTATATATACTTTTAGACCAGTAATATAAACTGTATTTTTATAAAATGATTGTTACTTGACAGTAATATTCTGTTCAAATTTAATGTTATACTTTATTCAGCTTATTTTAATCTTTATATTAACATATCTGTTTTGAATTATCTGATGCTTTTCTCTCTTGATCATCTAAAGGTAGAATGTCATCCTTACCTCAACCAGAGCAAACTGCTGGATTTCTGCAAGTCAAAAGACATTGTTCTGGTTGCCCACAGTGCTCTGGGAACCCAACGACATAAACTATGGTAATAAGAGCATCAGGAAGTTTACCTAAAATGCCATTTTGATGAAAAATTTTAGTTATAGCATACTCAGTCTCCTAGAGTTCATTCTCAATGGGTCAGGGTAAGGGGATAATTTGCATTTCTTATGAGATACCAGGTGATGCTGCTGCTGTTCAGGGACCTCACTTGAGAGGCTCTGGTGCAGAATGAACACCTTAGTCTGTTTAGGGAGCCTCCTACCAAACTGAATCCAGCCTCAAGACTTCAGCATTTCTGGCTTTCCTTCCAGGGTGGACCCAAACTCCCCAGTTCTTTTGGAGGACCCAGTTCTTTGTGCCTTAGCAAAGAAACACAAACAAACCCCAGCCCTGATTGCCCTGCGCTACCAGCTGCAGCGTGGGGTTGTGGTCCTGGCCAAGAGCTACAATGAGCAGCGGATCAGAGAGAACATCCAGGTGAGGAGTTGGGTGGGCATCAGGGCTCCTGCACAGTGTCCTTCACACGTGTGCTTCTTGTAAGGTTCTCAGGACACCCTTGGACTAAGTCCACTTCCTGGGCATTTCCTATGCACAAATGCTTTGTGTGCATAAGTGTTTTCTACTCTACCACAGGAGGGGCAGCATGGGTGGAGAGAATCAGGATGGGACCAAAACCAGGAATTTTGGTTTCACAACATAAAGTTGGCAACTTAACTCTATCCCTCTGCTAGGGACATCACCTTTTCTTCATTTTCTGAAGTGAGGAGTTGGGTTAGGTGTTCTCTAATCTTCAAAAATCATTGCAGATTTTTCATGTCCTTGTTTACTCAGTATAAATTTCATATATTTATTCTCTTAGAATTATTTGTTGAGTGCCTGTTGAAATCTTTGGGTATTTTATTAGGTTGCATGTCTTTTTCTATGTGTAGAAGATCATAATTATACTGAGTAAACTTATTAAAGAAAACCTCTCAACATAGAGGTTTAATACAAAACCATTTATTTAACTGACAATTCCATGGTTTGAAGTTTAGCCTAAAGCTCCACCTGAACTCAGTCTCGTCCTGTTTCTGGCTGGGCTTTCTCACGTGTGTGCAGGGCAATGAGGCAGCTCTACAGAATTAATCCAGAATCCATATTCTGGATATTCTTTAACAGCTTCAAATGTATTGTTGAAATAGCCTCTCCCAAAATGTACCCGTATTTTGATTCCCTTTATGGTGGTTTTAATAAGCAAAAGTTTCTACTCTTAATGTAGTCAAATTCTTTATGACATTTTCTCGTGGTTGCTAATATCATGACTTTTTCTATATTGGAAACATGACAATATGTTAATATATTATATAGTAAAATATTATGTAGTAATACAAAGTAATATATTATTGTCTATTAATATCTTATAAAAGTATTAATGTGCTTTTATAAACTGGGATAGTAATTTGATTTTTAATATGTGAAATAAGAGTACAAATGTACATATACATAATCTTCACTTGATACTAAAATGTCCTACTAAGAATTATTGAAAAGTCCATATTTGCTCACTTATCTTGATTTTTCATCCTAAGTGTCCATAAGTACTTCACTGACATTTCCCCTCTTTCAGAGTTAACTTTCCTGTACTGTTTAAGATTATGTTGAATAGAAAGTCTTACTACCATAATAGTAACAGTATTTTTCTGACTTAGTCTCTTATATAATAATGGCTTGGCTAGTCCTGAATGAGTGTTCTGTTACATAACATTCAGTAATATCAACTTCAACAAAAGGGCTAATATTTTGTTCTCTGGCTGAAATTGCTGTGAAACTGCAGATCAATTTGGTGAGAACTGATTGAGACTTCCAGTTTACGACCATAGACCATATGAATATTCAGTTATTTATGTGATATTTTAATATGTGCTTCAATTAGTTACATAGCATTCTTTATTAAGGCATTCGTGTATGTTTTCCTAGATTTATTCATAGAAAACTTATACTTTTAATAGTCTTTGGATAACTTTTTTTGAGAATTTTCTAATCTATGCAAATATTCTAAGAATACAATGAATGCTTCTTACCTAGACTCATCAATTGTTAAATTGATGACATTTTTATTCTTTTCCTCTCATTCTCTGTATCATTAGAGTATTCCATTAAAATTTAGTAATTTAGTATTATGTTAGCAATGAGTGACATCTTTTTGATATTTAAATTCTTTCCAATTTGTATACTGAGACCCTCTTCAAGAAACTATTTGTGTTCTTTGAGCATGATGTTATTAGGATTTGGACAATTACTGTCTTGAATTTTATTGAAAACAATTGTTTTTCACATTATAGCTGTTTGTCAAAGATGGAAATACAGATGAATAAATTTGGATTTCAGTATTTCTACATCTGATGTGAAACTGTATAATGCTGCAGACAAAGAGGATCTCAACAGATACTAGAGATGAAATAAAGTTAAACTGGTGTGTACATGACTGGTTCATGTACTTATAAGATTCGGAAGAATCTGGAGAAAAATTTTGAAACTTATAATTTAGACAGTTTGATGGTGATACAATTTGGATATTTGTCTCCTTCTAATCTCATGTTAAAATGTGATCCCCAGTGATGGAAGTGGGGTCTGGTGGGAGGTGTTTGTGTCATGGGGGCAAATATAGAAATATAGAAATCCAACAATATCCATCTGTATTAGTCTGTTTTGTGCTGCTGTAAAAAAAATACTTGATGCTGGGCAATTTATACAGAAAAGAGCTATATTTGGCTCACAATTTGCAGGCTGTACAAAAAGCATAGCACCAGCATCTCATTCTGGAGAGGCTTCAGGAAGCTTTAAGTTCCAACATTAGGTCATTCCTTTGCACCCATACCTGATCATAGGCTGTTAGAAGCAGTCACACTATCTCTTGAATGTTTTCCTGCTTAGAAATTTCTTCCACCAGATACCCTTAGTCATCACTAAGTTCAGACTTCCACAAAGTCCTGGAATGGACACGATGCAGTCAAGTTCTTTCGTAAGGTATAACAAGGGTGATCTTTGTTCCAGTTTTTAATAAGTTTCTCATTTTGATCTTAGACCTCATTAGCCTAAACTTAGTTGGCCATATTTTTAATCAGCATTTTGGTCAGAATCACTTAACCAATGCCTAACAAGTTCCAGACTACCCCTTATCTTCCCATTTTCTTCTGAACCCTCCTGACACTTCCAAACTGTGCTAATTATCCAGTTCTAAAGCCACTACCACATTTTCAGACATTTTTAGCAATGTCCCACTCCTGGTAACAATTTTCCATATTAGTCCATTGTGCGTTGCTATAAAGTACCCGAGGCCAGATAAAATATGCCGAAAGTTGTTTTGACTTACCATTTTGCAGACTGTACAAAAATCATGGCACCAGCATTTAGTTTTGGTGAGGGCTCAGGAAGCATTTACTCGTGGTAGAAGGTGACAGAGGAGGAAACATATCAAATAACAAGAGATGAAGAGGGAAAAAAAGAAAATGTCAGGCTCCTTTTTAAACCAGATTTCATGTGAACTAATGCAGTGAACACTCATTACCATGGGGAGGGCACCCAGCCATTCATGAGGGATGCCCCCAGGGCACAAACACCTCCCACCAGGACCCACTTCCATCATTGGGGAATTACTTTTTAACATGAGATTAGGAGGGGACAAATATCCAAATTGTATCACCATCAAACTGTCTAAATTATACATTTCAAAATTTCTCTAGATTCTTCTGAATCTAAGTACATGAACCAATCATGTGCACATAAGGTCAACTTCGTTCCATCTTTAGTTTCTGTTGAGATCTTTTCTTCAGTTTTGTGCAGTTTCAATATGTAATATCTAGGAATAGATTTATATTTTATCTGATATTCTTTAATCACTTGAGAGTTTAGAGATGGTCTTTCATAACTTTTGGAAACTTATCAAGTATTTTACATATTGCCTCTACACCCTACTGTGTGATATACTTGGCTATTCCAAGTTGACAATTATGCAATCTAAGAATAAACATTTTCTACTTCTTTGGTAGGTTTTTGAATTCCAGTTGACATCAGAGGATATGAAAGTTCTAGATGGTCTAAACAGAAATTATCGATATGTTGTCATGGATTTGTAAGTAACTTTGGAAAATGGGTTTCCCAGTTTATTTTTAGAGGAGGAATGTCAGATGGGTGTTGAAAGTGACCTCAATACCAGGGAGACAGAGGCCAGTGCAAGTGAGAGGTGAGACAGGAACTCTCTGGAACTCTCCTTCTGGATTCACTCCAGAGCTCTGTTCTCTGACAGGGTGAGTGGACCCAGGGTCAGCATCGGTCAACCTGTGCCTCTGCTCTCCTGACTCCATGGAAATTTCCAGAGCAGCCAATATTATTGCTAAATCTGCAACTTTCATGTAGGCCTGGCATTTCTGCCGTGGCCTAGTGGACAGTAGATATTGCCCATATGGCTTGATTAATGTTTTTCCAAATCTGTACTTATAGCTTTTTCTTCCAAATCCACTCAGTTTCTTATCAGCTAAAAAACATTTCCAACAACACTGGTGTCCATGCCAGAAATTCTCTTCTCTTCCATATGGAATTGCTCACTAGATCATGTCAATTCAGTATCTTTAATTGTTTCAAATTTCTTTCTTCCTTCTCTTTAGACATTTGCTCATGACCCAAACACTGCATTTTGCCTCCAGGAAGTTTGCCCTTAGTAGGCAATAGAACTCTTGGCTTTAATTTTTGCAATATGGAAATCTCAATGCAGAGTATAAAGAAGCTTTAGAGAAGATAGATTAAAAATCAAGGGAAGAGCCAGGCTCAGTGGCTCATGCCTGTAATCCCATCATTCTGGGAGGCCAAGGCAGGTGAATCACTTGAAGTCAGAAGTTTCAGACCAGCCTGGCCAAAATGGCAAAACCCTGTCTCTACTAAAAATAAAAAAATTAGCCATGCATGGTGGCACACACCTGCAAATCCAGCTACTAAGGAGGCTGAGACAGGAGAATCCCTTGAACCCGGGAAGCAGAGGTTTCAGTGAGCCAAAATTATGCCACTGCACTCCAGCCTGGGCAACAGAGCAAGACTCAGTCATTAAAAAACAAAAAAATCAAGGGAAGAGTTGGAAAGTCCCATCTTTGGGGATAATATATAGCTGACAAAAGATCTTACTCTTTTCTATATGCTCCAAGGTTCTAGGATTCACAGAAAGGCACTCATGTGATGAGGGCAAAACAAGTTATGTCACTGCCTGCAGTGGAGATGTTAACAAGTAATAGACATGAGATAATGTATTAAAAAGGATAAGCACAGCAGCACATCATAAGAACTCAAACATTTTTAGATATCTTTATTAGTTTAGAGGAAAATAGTAAAATAGAAAATCATGAAAAGGAAAGGAAGAGTGGCAAACATCAGTAATTCTCACCAATCAATTATTCAATATTAATGAATCATTTATTCATTCTATTTTGTGTGATTTTCACCTAAAGATTGCCCTTAGCATATTGTAGGGTTTTGAATATGGAACCCCATATCACATATGACAATTTACATGTCTGAATCAAAGAAAATATTTTCCATATGGTAAGCAGCTAGTCAGTAATGAATACATTCTTTTAAAAGGATATGTGATTGCTACCAATAACATTTAACCCTCAAAACTTTTTGTTAATGATGAACATATAGCTGGCTTATTTCTATTCAAAACAATGCAAGATGAGTTCCTGCTTTCATTGAGAATTTGAAATAGAAAATGTCAGAATATCTCTTTGCTCTGTTGACAGATATGGAGGACTATGTTTGAACAATTGACCCTGTGTAGTTTGTGTGATAAATTCCAGGCAAGGGAATATAAGTTGAAAATTTTCTTATTTTGAAAAAAAAAAAAAACACATTATAAACTCATGTTCATGAAAGACATTCTACAAATAGTCCGAAAATAAACTTCTTAACATTCACACTAATGGCAGCTTCATATAAATTCACTTTGCTACCAGCTTTTTAATAGAGTCATTTCATCCATATTTATGTACTATCCTTTCTCTTTTCAGTCTTATGGACCATCCTGATTATCCATTTTCAGATGAATATTAGCATAGAGGGTGTTGCACGACATCTAGCAGAAGGCCCTGTGTGTGGATGGTGATGCAGAGGATGTCTCTATGCTGGTGACTGGACACACAGCCTCTGGTTAAATCCCTCCCCTCCTGCTTGGCAACTTCAGCTAGCTAGATATATCCATGGTCCAGAAAGCAAACATAATAAATTTTTATCTTGAAGTAATTGAATGTTTTTCCTTAAAGATTCTTTTCCTACTCCTTTCTCTGTTACTTGTGTGTTTCTTTTCCTTCTAGTTCTTTAAGGCCAAAAACTGATTTGCCTATAAGTTTGGGGCAGAGAGCAGATGATAACCAATATTTTATAGACATTTTTGAGGTGAGAGTAGGTGGAGTTTTCAGCCTCTAGAGGAGAAGCAAGTGACATATTTGTTAGTCTGTCTTTAGCTCTTCCAGAAAGAAGAAAACACACAGCACAGAACCTGAACATGAGCCATATTGACAGGATGACCAACAATTAATGGCCTCCCTCCAGCATCGCAAGAATGGGAGCTCCAGCAACCTAGGGGTGCAGCATCCCTGTGGGGTAATGGTTAGGGAGGTGGGAGGGCACCCATCCAGGAGAAATAATTAGGAGTCAGATATGGGAGAGGTGAGAAGGGAG
This sequence comes from Homo sapiens, assembly GCF_000001405.40. NCBI lineage: Eukaryota > Metazoa > Chordata > Mammalia > Primates > Hominidae > Homo > Homo sapiens. The sequence continues at coordinate 5,219,388 of NC_000010.11, forward strand.
TTGAGCACATTCTGCTTGGGAAATACAAACACATGCTCTTTTGTTAATTACGTCTTGTGCATAAAAGGAAACTTCCCACATCGTTTTAAGGCTGAGAGCCAGGCCTTGACCTCCTCTGTGTGCCCAGTATCAGCAGTGACCTTGCTGGGCTGTGGTGGAGCAGGACATCAAAGACACCAGTGACTGGCCACATTCTCCTGAATATCAGCTCCATTTAGAACAAATTTTAGATTCTAAAAATATACTCTTAATTTGTTCTACTCAGTCTTTTGAAATATTTCATACATTCAAAAAGGCACACTTACTAATATAAAATATCTGAAAGCCATTACATGTTGTCAAATTAATTTCAGAATTGCAAATACATCTAATTATCCAAAATTTCAAAACTCTTCTGTAAACAGTGTATGTCAATAGCATGATGCTTTCAAACTTTGTAACAATTATTCCTGAAAGTTACTAAAGACACCTAATTGTTCATATAGTTTGTAGGGGTACAAATTTAATCAGCTAGTCAAGAAAATAAAATTTCATTCCAGACAACTTTTTGAAAAGTTGGGACAATGTTATGGGCTACTGGCCAAAGCACTTTGAGACTGACAGGTGTTTATGACCTGTGCACATTTTCCAGTGCTTTTACCCTCCACTGATTTAACCCCATTAGAGGGGTTTCCTTAAGCCATGTCTTTCAGCTGAGAAATATCCTGCCAAGTTTTGTAGTTTACAATATTTCCTAAAATGATTTGTTTCTTAGAAGTGGAAGAGGCCATAAACTTTGGAAGACCCTTGGGTGATCTTTGGACTGGTTTTCTGTCTTCACTCATTTCCTTGATGATGTCAAATATTCTCATGGCTTTAAATACAACCTCTAGGCCAAGAAACCACAAATCAATATCGGCAGGTGAGCTTTTTCTCCGAAACTCCAGAATGAAACATCATATTGTCTGCATCTCTACATTAGTGCCTAATGGACTTTCACACTTAGCATGACTCAAACAAAGCTCATTTCAATTGCTGCCTTCCTGTTCCACCTCAATGTTCCTAGACTAAGTAATGATTATTTCACGTCTTGTAAAGTTGATTGACATAATCAAAAATTAATGTTTTTTTAACTTATTAGTCAAGTATGTAATGCTAAAGAATTTCAGATTTTCTTAGTATGCATGACATTATTTTCCCCAAGATGTGAATAATTAGAAGTCATTTATAAATAGTAAATCTAAAAAAATAAAAAATAAATAGTAAATCTGCTACAGGCTTATTCTACTTGTTTACCCTTCATTTTCACAGAAATCTTATTTTGAAAAGAAAGTTTAGGCCAGGTGCGGTGGCTCATGACTGTAATCCCAGCACTTTGGGAGGCCGAGGCGGGCAGATCACGAGGTCAGGGGATCGAGACCATCCTGGCTAACACGGTGAAACCCCGTCTCTACTAAAAATATAAAAAATTAGCCAGGCGCGGTGGCAGGCACCTGTAGTCCCAGCTACTCAGGAGGCTGAAGCAGGAGAATGGTGTGACCCCAGGAGGTGGAGCTTACAGTGAGCAGAGATCGTACCACTGCACTCCAGCCTGGGTGAAAGAGCAAGACTGCGTCTCAAAAACAAACAAAAAAACAGTTACTTGGAATTTTTTAAAGCTTAAATTGGGAACACACAGAGGTTACAGAATTTTGTTACATCCAATTCCTCATGTCATTATATTTTTTCTATAAGAAATGCTAAAGTGAGGCTGGAACAGTGGTTCACGCCCGTAATCCCAGCAATTTAGGAGGCCGAGGTGGGCAGATTACTTGAGGTTAGGGGTTTGAAACCACCCTAGCCAACATGGTGAAATCTCATCTCCACTAAAAATGTGAAAATTAGCCAGGTGTTCTGTCATGCACCTGTAATCTCAGCTACTCAGGAGGCTGAGGGAAGAGAATTGCTTGAACCCGGGAGGTGGAGGTTGCAGTGAGCCAAGATCAAGATCACGCCATTGCACTCCAGCCTGAGCAACAGAGTGAGACTCCACCTCAAAAAAAAAAAAAAAAAAAAAAAAGGAAGAAAAAGAAAAAGGAAGAAATGATGCTAAAGTCAGTACTTCAGGCTGAAATAAAAGACAGTAACTCAAACCCATAAAGATGTATAAAGACTGCTTGTCTCTCTATATAGGATAAAATATGAAAAAAATGTATTTTTGAAGTTCACATTTTTACTCCATTTATCTCAAGATTTGAAATATAAATGTATGCAAATAACACTAAATTAATATGTACATAATGTGTAATCTCACTGACAAAAGTAATGTGAGATGAAGAGAAAGAAACCCTGTGGAAAGGTTTATGAAATACTGGTAGATTGGTATTGATTCACAGTAAATTGGTATTGATTCTAAGCAAATTGTTATAACTTTATAAAGTTGTATGTCATCCTCACAGCAACCACAAAGAAAATAACTATAGAATATACTTAAGAGGAAATGATATGGGAATCCCAATGTCACTTCTAAAAGTCATGCAAACACACCAAAAAAATAGTAACTGTGGATATGAAGGACAAAAAAGCTATGGACAGAAAGGAAAGACGGAAAATAGCAAAAGTCACATTTTCCCTGTCACTAATTCAATCATGCATCACATCACACCTCTTCTGAAAGAGGCTTTATTAGGCAATTTCATCTTTCTTTGTGCAAAGATGAGGGAGTATAATTACATGAACTTGGATGGCATAGCTTACTATTCATTAAAGCTATATGATATAGAATATGGGGCTGGACACGGTGTTTCATGCCTGTAATCCCAGCACTTTGGGAGACAGGCAGGCGGACCACTTGAGGTCAGGAGTTTGAGACCAGCCTGGCCAACATGGTGAAACTCTGTCTCTACTAAAGATACAAAAATTAGCCAGGCATGGTGGTACACACCTGTAATCCCAGCTACTTGAGAGGCTGAGGTAGGAGAACCGCTTGAACCAGGGAGGTTGCAGTGAGCCGAGATGGCACCACTGCACTCCAGCCTGGGTGACAGAGCGAAACTCTGACTCAAAAAAGAAATTTACAGAATAAAAATATGGGGAGCTGGGATTACAAGCACCTGCCATTACGCCCAGCTGATTTTTGTATTTTTAGTAGAGACGGGGTTTCACCATGTTGGCCAGGATGGTCTCGATCTCTTGCCCTCGTGCCCTCGTGATCCGCCCAGAGGAGGGAGTCTTTAAGGATACTGTAAGACGCCCTATAAGAAGAAACCACAGTGTCTACACAGGTAAATAAGAAATTCAAATGATCTGAAAAACAAATAAAAAGTAAGAACCAGGGGAGGGCAGCCAAGATGGCCGAATAGGAACAGCTCCGGTCTACAGCTCCCAGCGTGAGCGACGCAGAAGATGGGTGATTTCTGCATTTCCATCTCAGGTACCGGGTTCATCTCACTAGGGAGTGCCAGACAGTGGGCACAGGACAGTGGGTGCAGTGCACCGTGCGCGAGCCGAAGCAGGGCGAAGCATTGCCTCACTCGGGAAGCACAAGGGGTCAGGGAGTTCCCTTTCCTAGTCAAAGAAAGGGGTGAAAGACAGCACCTGGAAAATCAGGTCACTCCCACCCTAATACTGTGCTTTTCCAAAGGGCTTAAAAAACGGCACACCAGGAGATTATATCCCGCACATGGCTCGGAGGGTCCTATGCCCACAGAGTCTTGCTGATTGCTAGCACAGCAGTCTGAGATCAACTGCAAGGCCACAGCGAGGCTGGGGGAGGGGCGCCTGCCATTGCCCAGGCTTGCTTAGGTAAACAAAGCAGCCTGGAAGCTCGAACTGGGTGGAGCCCACCACAGATCAAGGAGGCCTGCCTGCCTGCCTCTGTAGGCTCCACCTCTCGGGGCAGGGCACAGACAAACAAAAAGACAGCAGTAACCTCTGCAGACTTAAATGTCCCTGTCTGACAGCTTTGAAGACAGCAGTGGTTCTCCCAGCATGCAGCTGGAGATCTCAGAACGGGCAGACTGCCTCCTCAAGTGGGTCCCTGACCCGACCCCTGAGCAGCCTAACTGGGAGGCACCCCTCAGTAGGGGCAGACTGAAACCTCAAACGGCCAGGTACTCCTTTGAGACAAAACTTCCAGAAGAATGATCAGACAGCAGCATTCACGGTTCACGAAAATCTGCTGTTCTGCAATTTCTGCTGCTGATACCAAGGCAAACAGGGTCTGGAGTGGACCTCCAGCAAACTCCAACAGACCTGCAGCTGAGGGTCCTGTCTGTTAGAAGGAAAACTAACAAACAGAAAGGACATCCACACCAAAAACCCATCTGTACATCACCATTATCAAAGACCAGAAGTAGATAAAACCACAAAGATGGGGAAAAAACAGAACAGAAAAACTGGAAACTCTAAAAAGCAGAGTGCCTCTCCTCCTCCAAAGGAACACAGTTCCTTACCAGCAACGGAACAAAGCTGGACAGAGAATGACTTTGACAAGTTGAGAGAAGAAGGCTTCAGACGATCAAACTACTCCGAGCTACAGGAGGAAATTCAAACCAAAGGCAAAGAAGTTAAAAACTTTGAAAAAAATTTAGACGAATGTATAACTAGAATAACGAATACAGAGAAGTGCTTAAAGGAGCTGATGGAGCTGAAAGCCAAGGCTTGAGAACTACATGAAGAATGCAGAAGCCTCAGGAGCTGATGCAATCCACTGGAAGAAAGGGTATCAGTGATGGAAGATGAAATGAATGAAATAAAGTGAGAAGGGAAGTTTAGAGAAAAAAAAATAAAAAGAAACGAACAAAGCCTTCAAGAAATATGGGACTATATGAAAAGACCAATTCTATGTCTGATTGGTGTACCTGAAAGTGACTGGGAGAATGGAACCAAGCTGGAAAACCCTCTGCAGGATATTATCCAGGAGAACTTCCCCAATCTAGCATGGCAGGCCCACATTCAGATTCAGGAAATACAGAGAATGCCACAAATATACTCCTTGAGAAGAGCAACTCCAAGACACCTAATTGTCAGATTCACCAAAGTTGAAATGAAGGAAAAAATGTTAAGGGCAGCCAGAGAGAAAGGTCGGGTTACCCACAAAGGGAAGCTCATCAGACTAACAGCAGATCTCTTGCCAAACTCTACAAGCCAGAAGAGAGTGGGGGCCAATATTCAACATCCTTAAAGAAAAGAATTTTCAACACAGAATTTCATATCCAGCCAAACTAAGCTTCATAAGTGAAGGAGAAATAAAATACTTTACAGACAAGCAAATGCTGAGAGATTTTGTCACCACCAGGCCTGCCCTAAAAGAGCTCCTAAAGGAAGCACTAAATGTGGAAAGGAACAACCAGTACCAGCCACTACAAAATAATGCCAAATTGTAAAGACCATCGAGGCTCGGAAGAAACTGCATCAACTGACGAGCAAAATAACCAGCTAACATCATAATGACAGGATCAAATTCACACATAACAATATTAACTTTAAATGTAAATGGACTAAATGCTCCAATTAAAAGACACAGACTGGCAAATTGGATAAAGAGTCAAGACCCATCAGTGTGCTGTATTCAGGAAACGCATCTAACGTGCAGAGACACACATAGGCTCAAAATAAAAGGATGGAGGAAGATCTACCAAGCAAATGGAAAACAAAAAAAAGGCAGGGGTTGCAATCCTAGTCTCTGATAAAACAGGCTTTAAACCAACAAACATCAAAAGAGACAAAGAAGGCCATTACATAATGGTAAACGGATCAATTCAACAAGAAGAGCTAACTATCCTAAATATATATGCACCCAATACAGGAGCACCCAGATTCATAAAGCAAGTCTTGAGTGACCTACAAAGAGAATTAGACTCCCACACAATAATAATGGAAGACTTTAACACCCCACTGTCAACATTAGACAAATCAATGAGACAGAAAGTTAACAAGAATACCCAGGAATTGAACTCAGCTCTGCAACAAGCAGATCTAATAGCCATCTACAGAACTCTTCACCCCAAATCAACAGAATATACATTTTTTTCAGCACCACACCACACCTATTCCAAAATTGACCACATAGTTGGAAGTAAAGCTCTCCTCAACAAATGTAAAAGAACAGAAATTATAACAAACTGTCTCTCAGACCACAGTGCAATCAAACTAGAACTCAGGATTAAGAAACTCACTCAAAACTGCTCAACTACATGGAAACTGAACAACCTGCTCCTGAATGACTACTAGGTACATAACAAAATGAAGGCAGAAATAAAGATGTTGTTTGAAACCAACAAGAACAAAGACACAACATGCCAGAATCTCTGGGACACATTCAAAGCAGTGTGTAGAGGGAAATTTATAGCACTAGATGCCCACAAGAGAAAGCAGGAAACATCCAAAATTGACACCCTAACATCACAATTAAAAGAACTAGAAAAGCAAGAGCAAACACATTCAAAAGCTAGCAGAAGGCAAGAAATAACTAAAATCAGAGCAGAACTGAAGGAAATAGAGACACAAAAAACCCTTCAAAAAATCAATGAATCCAGGAGCTGGTTTTTTGAAAGGATCAACAAAATTGATAGACTGCTGGCAAGACTAATAAAGAAAAAAAGAGAGAAGAATCAAATAGACACAATAAAAATGATAAAGGGGATATCACCACCGATCCCACAGAAATACAAACTACCATCAGAGAACACTACAAACACCTCTACGCAAATAAACTAGAAAATCTAGAAGAAATGGATAAATTCCTCGACACATACACCCTCCCAAGACTAAACCAGGAAGAAGTTGAATCTCTGAATAGACCAATAACAGGCTCTGAAATCGAGGCAATAATCAATAGCTTACCAACCAAAAAGAGTCCTGGGCCAGATGGATTCACAGCCGAATTCTACCAGAGGTACAAGGAGGAACTGGTACCATTCCTTCTGAAACTATTCCAATCAATAGAAAAAGAGGGAATCCTCCCTAACTCATTTTACGAGGCCAGCATCATCCTGATACCAAAGCCGGGCAGAGACACAACCAAAAAAGAGAATTTTAGACCAATATCCCTGATGAACATTGATGCAAAAATCCTCAATAAAATACTGGCAAACCGAATCCAGCAGCACATCAAAAAGCTTATCCACCATGATCAAGTGGGCTTCATCCCTGGGATGCAAGGCTGGTTCAATATACACAAATCAATAAATGTAATCCAGCATATAAAAAGAACCAAAGACAAACACCACATGATTATCTCAATAGATGCAGAAAAGGCCTTTGACAAAATTCAACAATGCTTCATGCTAAAAACTCTCAATAAATTAGGTATTGATGGCACGTATCTCAAAATAATAAGCTATCTATGACAAACCCACAGCCAATATCATACTGAATGGGCAAAAACTGGAAGCATTCCCTTTGAAAACTGGCACAAGACAGGGATGCCCTCTCTCACCACTCCTATTCAACATAGTGTTGGAAGTTCTGGCCAAGGCAATTAGGCAGGAGAAGGAAATAAAGGGTATTCAATTAGGAAAAGAGGAAGTCAAATTGTCCCTGTTTGCAGATGACATGATTGTATACCTAGAAAACCCCATTGTCTCAGCCCAAAATCTCATTAAGCTGATAAGCAACTTCAGCAAAGTCTCAGGATACAAAATCAATGTACAAATATCACAAGCATTCTTATACACCAATAACAGACAAACAGAGAGCCAAATCATGAGTGAACTCCCATTCACAATTGCTTCAAAGAGAATAAAATACCTAAGAACCCAACTTACAAGGGATGTGAAGGACCTCTTCAAGGAGAACTACAAACCACTGCTCAATGAAATAAAAGAGGATACAAACAAATGGAAGAACATTCCATGCTCATGGGTAGGAAGAATCAATATCGTGAAAATGGCCATACTGCCCAAGGTAATTTATAGATTCAATGCCATCCCCATCAAGCTACCAATGACTTTCTTCACAGAATTGGAAAAAACTACTTTAAAGTTCATATGGAACCAAAAAAGAGCCCGCATTGCCAAGTCAATCCTAAGCCAAAAGAACAAAGCTGGAGGCATCACACTACCTGACTTCAAACTATACTACAAGGCTACAGTAACCAGAACAGCATGGTACTGGTACCAAAACAGAGATATAGATCAATGGAACAGAACAGAGCCCTCAGAAATAATGCCACATATCTACAACTATCTGATCTTTGACAAAGCTGAGAAAAACAAGCAATGGGGAAAGGATTCCCTATTTAATAAATGGTGCTGGGAAAACTGGCTAGCCATATGTAGAAAGCTGAAACTGGATCCTTTCCTTACACCTTACACAAAAATTAATTCAAGATGGATTAAGGACTTAAACGTTAGACCTAAAACCATAAAAACCCTAGAAGAAAACCTAGGCATTACCATTCAGGACATAGGCATGGGCAAGGACTTCATGTCTAAAACACCAAAAGCAATGGCAACAAAAGCCAAAATTGACAAATGGGACCTAATTAAACTAAAGAGCTTCTGCACAGCAAAAGAAACTACCATCAGCATGAACAGGCAACCTACAAAATGGGAGAAAATTTTCACAACCTATTCATCTGACAAAGGGCTAATATCCAAAATCTACAATGAACTCAAACAAATTTACAAGAAAAAAACAAACAACCCCATCAAAAAGTGGGCAAAGGATATGAACAGACACTTCTCAAAAGAAGACATTTATGCAGCCGAAAGACACATGAAGAAATGCTCACCATCACTGGCCATCAGAGAAATGCAAATCAAAACCACAATGAGATACCATCTCACACCAGTTAGAATGGCAATCATTAAAAAGTCAGGAAGCAACAAGTGCTGGAGAGATGTGGAGAAATAGGAACACTTTTACACTGTTGGTGGGACTGTAAACTAGTTCAACCATTGTGGAAGTCAGTGTGGCGATTCCTCAGGGATCTACAACTAGAAATACCATTTGACCCATTACCATATCGCTTACCATATCCCATTACCGGGTATATACCCAAAGGACTATAAATCATGCTGCTATAAAGACACATGCACACGTATGTTTATTGTGGCACTATTCACAATAGCAAAGACTTGGAACCAACCCAAATGTCCAACAATGATAGACTGGATTAAGAAAATGTGGCACATATACACCATGGAATACTATGCAGCCATAAAAAATGATGAGTTCATGTCCTTTGTAGGGACATGGATGAAATTGGAAATCATCATTCTCAGTAAACTATTGCAAGGACAAAAAACCAAACACCGCATGTTCTCACTCATAGGTGGGAATTGAACAATGAGAACACATGGACACAGGAAAGGGAACATCACACTCTGGGGACTGTTGTGGGGTGGGGGAGGGGAGAGGGGTAGCATTAGGAGATATACCTAATGCTAAATGACGAGTTAATGGGTGCAGCACACCAGCATGGCACATGTATACATATGTAACTAACCTGCACATTGTGCACATGTACCCTAAAACTTAAAGTATAATAATAAAATAAATTTTAAAAATTTAAAAAAAGAGTAAAAATATGGGTCCGAGGCTACAAACCTGCACAGCATGCTCCTGCACTGAATACCATGGGCAAGTGTAGCACGATGGATAGTATTTACATATCCAAATATATTTTAACATGGAAATGGTACAATAAAAATAAGCTATTAAGTTATGAAACTGCTGTTGTATATGTGGTTTGTCATTGACCAAAATATTATTATGTGTGCTGAGAAGGGAGGTGGTCTGAGAGGGCAGTGAGCCTGAGGAGGAGGTGTTCTGAGAGGGGCGTGATTCTGAGGGGGGAGGTGGTCTGAGGCAGGGCCCCGGGTCTGAGGCAGGTCCAGGTGAAGGGGCGTAGGTCTGCGAGAGGAGGTCGGCTGAGAGGGGTGTGGGTCTGAGCAGGGACGGCCCCCGAGGGGGTTGGGTGTGATGGGGGAGAGCAGAAGAGGCAGGCATTGGTCTGAGGGGGGAGGTGGACTGAGGGGCATGTGGGCCTGTGAGAGGCATGGGCTTAAACAGATTAAATTTCTATTTCAAAAGCAAATCGATTGGCAGAATAGATTTTACAATTATAGGATCAAAATCTACTCAAAAACTGTGACAAAATATAAACAAGACATTAATTATAGGCATACCCTAGAAATATTGCAGCTTCAGTTCCAGACTACCCCAATTAAGCAAATAGCCCAATGAGTGACAAAAGTTGTTTGAATTCCTAGTGCCCATAGAATGTTTACACTGTATTGTAATCTATTAGGTATACAATAGCATTCTGTCTAAAGAAAATATACATACCTTAATTTTAAAATACTGTATTATCAAAAGAGCCATCAGCAAAGGAAAATCTCTTTGCTGGTAGAAAGTCTTTCCTTGATGTTGACTGCTGACTGATTAGGGTAGTTATTGAAGGTTGGAGTTGCTGCGACAATGTATTTTTCTAAAGGCAAAAATGAAGTCTGCTGCACTAATTGATGCTTCCTTTCCTGAAATATTTCTCTGTCACATTATGCTGTTTGATAGCCCATTACCCCTAGCAGAACTTACTGCAAACTCCGTCAATTCTATAATCCTGCCACTGCTTTATTAAGTACGTGTATGCAATATTCTAAATGCTTTGTCATTTCAACAATGCTCACAGCATCTTCATCAGGATTAGAATCCATTTTACCAAACCCCTTTCTTTGCTCATCCGTAAAAAGCTACTCTTCATTTGTTAAAATTGTATCATGAGATTACAATTCCATAACATTCAAGCTCCAATTCTAATTCTAGTTCTCTTGCTATATCTACCACATCTGCATTTAATTTCTCCACTGAAGTCTTCAATCCCTTAAAGTCATCCAGAAGAGTTGAAATCAATTTCTTCCAAAACTCCCATTAATGTTAATATTTGGCCCTCGTCCCATGAATCATGAATGTTTCTAATGGCATTTAGAATAAATCCCTTCCAGGTTTTCCATTTACTTTGTCTACATTCTTTGTAGGAATCACTATCTATGGCAGCTATAGCTTTATTAAATATATTTTGTGAACAGCAAGAGTAGAAAAAAAAAATCAAAATTAACTCCACAATCTGTGGGACACAAAATGGATGCTGTGTTGGCAGGTAGAGACAACAGTAATCTCTGTATACATCTCCAACAAAGCTCTTGGGTGATTAGGTGCATTGTCAACAAAAAACAAGCAATATTGTCATAGAAATTTTTCTGAGCAGTGAGCCTTAACAATGGAATCAAAATATTCAGTGAGCTATTATTTAAAGAGATACACTGATATCCAGGCTTTCTTGCTCGATTTACAGAACACTTGCAGGATAGATTTAGCTTAAATCTTAAGGGCCCTAGGATTGTTGGAATGTAAATGAGCATTGGCTTCACTGAATATCACCAGCTGCACTATCTCATAACAAGAGAGTCAGCCTGTCCTTTGAAGATTTGAAGCCAGCTATTGATTTCTCTTGAGACATAAATGTCCTACATGGCATCATCTTTCAATAAAAGGCTATCTTTTCTACATTGAAAATCTATAGTGTAGCTACCTTCATTAATGATCTTGGTAAGTCTGGATAACTTGCTACAGCTTTTCCAGCACCACTTGCTGCTTCACGTAGCATTTGTTATAGAGATGGTGTCTTTCCTTCAATCTCAAACCAATCTCTGGTAGATCCCATGTTTTCCTCTGCAGCTTCCTCATCTCTATCAACCTTCCTGGACTAGAAGAGTTAGGGTTTGCTCCAGACTAGGCTTTGGTGGAAGAGAATGTTGTGGCTGGTGGACCCACACTGTCAAAACTTTCTCCATATCAGCAATAAGGCTGTTTTGTTGCTTTCTAATCATTTGTGTATTTACTGCGGTAGTATTTGAATTTAAGAACGTTTCCTTTGCATTCATGATTTGGCTAAAAATTAGTGCAACACGCTGGATGTGGTGGCTGACACCTGTAATCCCAGCACTTTGTGAAGCTGAGGCGGGCAGATCACAAGGTCAGGAGTTTGAGACCAGCCTGACCAACATGGTGAAACCCTGTCTCTACTAAAAATACAAAAATTAGCCAGGCGTGGTGGTGCATGCCTGTAATCCCAGCTACTCAAGAGGCTGAGGCAGGAGAATCGCTTGAACCCAGGAGGTGGAGGTTGCAGTGAGCCAAGATCGTGCCACTGCACTCCAGCCTGGGTGACAGAGCGAGACTGCCTCAAAAAGTTAGTTCAACAGACCTAGCTTCCAGCCTATCTTAGCTTTCAACATGCCTTCCTCAGTAAGCTTAATCATTTGTTTTCAAGTTAGAGATGTGCAATTCTTCCTTTCACTTGAACACCTAGAGGCCATTGTAGGATTACTAATTTGCCTAATTTCAATGTTGTTGTTTCTCAGGGAACAGGGGAGGGTTGGTGCTGAGAAGGAGAGAGACTAGGAAACAACCAGTTGGTGGAACATTCAGAAAACATTTATCGAATGTTCGCCATGTTATCTGGTCACAGTTCATGGCTCCCAAAAACAATTATAATAACATCAAAGATCACTGATGACAGACCAGTAAAACAGGTAAAATAATAAAGTATGAAATATCTTAAGAATTACCAAAATTTGACCCAAGGACATGAAGTGAGCATGTGCTGTTGGAAAAATGCACCCGTGGACTTGCTCAAAAGGGATGTCACTAATCTTGAATTTGTTAAAAAAAAAAAAATGTAATATCTGCAAAGTACAATAAAGTAAAGAATAAAATGGGGTATCCCTTTTTGATAAATGGGTCAAATCATGAAAAATATAACACGTGTAATGGTTCATTTTATGTGTCAACTGGGATGTATTAAATGGTACCTCGACTACCATTACAAAATGGTAAAGCATCATTTTGGGGTGTATCTGAGGATAATCCTGGAAGATACTGGCATTTGAATTAATGATTAACTAAGGAAGTGCCACCATCACCACTATGGGAAGGCACAATCCTATTGGCTGAGGGCTCAGAAGATAGCAGAGGAAAGGTGAATTTGGTCTCTTTCTCTTTTATGGAGCTGGGACACCACTTTTTTCCTCCCCTTTGAAATGAGAGCCCCAATTTCAGTGGTCTTTGAACTCTAGGACATCTACAAGTGGCTCCCCGGGCTTCAAGCTTTCAGCTTCAGGCTGAAAGATAAAGTATTGGCTCTGCTGGCTCTCAAGGCTTCATATATGGACTGAGCCATGCTACTGGCTCCCTGCTTCTCCAGCTTGTAAATGGTATATGGTGCCTCCATATGCCTCCATAATTACATGAGCTAATGCTCCTGATAAATCCCCTCTCACATACACATACATACACACACACACACACCAACACACAATTGGTTCCGTTTTTTAGGAGAACCCTAACTAATAGATTTTGGTAACAGGAGTGGTTCTAGAGGAACAGGAATCTAAGTATAAGTTTTCTGTACTGGTTGATTGGTTGTGGGGTTTCTAGATTGTCTCCCTAAGATTAGACTTGAAAACACTGAGGACTATTTTCAGTAATACAGAAAACAATGATAGTCCATGGCCTGAATTGTTTATAGAGATGTACAAGACATCTGCAATCATACTCTACTTAATGACCCATAGGAGGCAAGGAAATTGGTGACTCTACATGAGATACTTTTTCACATTAGTGGAAAAACTAAAGAATATAATTAGTTGGTTGGTGGCACCTAATGTTGCCAGACAGTGTTAAGGGAAAGACAAGGATGAGCTCATGGGTGAAATTCCCAGATCAAGCAATGCATGGGTTTGTTGGGAAGGAGAATCTTACGTCCTGTAGCCACAGGGCTAAAATTGCTGAAAATCAACACAAGTGACAAAAAAAAGCACAATGAAAGGAGAAAAAAAGACAGATAAATTGGACTTCATAAAAATTGAAACATCTTTGCGTGAAAAGAAACTACAAAGAGAATCCGAAGGCAACCCACAGAATGAGGAAAATATTTGCAAGTCCTATTTCTGATTAAGCTGAATTTGACAGAATTACATAAAATAGTTTATTGGATTACATACATGGGAAGGTCAAGACATTATTAGACTTAATTCCAAGTTGTCTTCAAAAACATCCTCCTTTTTTCTCTTGTATCTCTGCATTTTATAGCTTGCTTTTTGTCCCAGTATTTACATTGGTGGAAAATATGACCATGGGACAGTTCAAGACTCAAGGTCGTTAATACATGAGAGTTCTGTAGACCTTCCAATATCCACTGGGTCGGGGGACTGAAAAGAACATTGATTGACACTGTTATGCTCTTTTATCTGCCTTTGGACCATCATATGTCCAAAGGTATAAGAAACTGGTTGTCTACCCTGGGTCAAAACTGCAATCCAGTATTGCTGAACTTTAAGGTTAGGTAACTACTGCCTTTCCCAGTGAAAAGCATTTCCACAAAGCAACATACAGGGAGCAAGAAAAAGTAACTTAAGTCAACTAGGAGACCCCATAAGAAAATGGTATTAGTACATATAATAGATGCAAGATGTTAGATAAACCTATCTTCTAAAGACAATTCTAACAATTCTGTATGTAAAACACTTTGCAAACACCAGTATCTGAATCATTGCACCACTTTCCTCGTGGAGGTTTAATGTCCCAGGCCTAGATTTAGCTGGGAATACAGCTATAGGTGGGGACATCAATTTATGATGGTGGTAAAACCACTGCTTCTAAGTATTCGTTATTCTTTTCCAAGTGTGATATTGGCCCTTCAATTTCCCACAGTGGAGTCGAGTTTCAGATGTAACTTTTAGTAAGAATTTAAAGATAGTTTGGAGAATCACAGAGAACAAAACAGAAAATAACTTAGAACTACCCAATGTGGCCATGCTCAGAGCTCAGTTTCATTTACTTCAAATATTTACTGCACATTGACTATGCATTAGGTGAGTGCAAAAGTAATCGTGATTGAGCAATTGGACTTGGCAGCCTGTCTTGACACACCACTGTGCTGAGTGTTTGAGGAAGTGTTTCAACAGATGGCTGGGGTTAGTGTGTGTCATCATATTTGAGCGAGGATTAAGAGAAGGCAGGCTGCCTTGCTGAAGCTATGTGGTCTTCAAGTGAGAGTTGCAGGCAATAGAACTACTTTCCTTTTGGAGTAAAAGGAGGAATTCATTTTCAGTAGCCACAAGAAAAGTTTTTTTTTTTTCCAGGGTGGCTGGCAAAATGGCCAAATAGTAACAGCTCCAGTCTGCAGCTCCCAGTAAGATCTACACACAAGGCGGGTGATTTCTGCATTTCCAACTGAGGTACGTGGCTCATCTCACTGGGACTTGTTAGACAGTGGGTACAGCCCACAGAGGGCAAGCAAGCAGGGTGGGGTGTTGCCTCACCTGGGAAGTGCAAGGGGTCTGGGAACTCCCTCCCTTAGCCAAGGGAATCTGGTAGGGACTGTACCTTCAGGAATGGTGCATTCTGGCCCAGATACTACACTTTTCCCACCGTCTTTGCAACCCACAGACCAGGAGATTCCCTCGGGTGCCCAAGACACTAGGGCCCTGGGTTTCAAGCACAAAACTGGGCAGCCAATTGGGCAGACACTGAGCTAGCTGCAGTTTTTTTCATACCCCAGTGGTGTCTAGAATACCAGCGAGACTGAACCGTTCACTCCCCTGGAAAGGGGGCTGAAGCCAGGGAGCTGAGTGGTCTAGCTCAGTGGATCCCACCCCCCAGAGCCCAGCAAGCTAAGATCCACTGGCTTGAAATTCCCACTGCCAACAACAGCAGTCTGAAGTCAACCTGGGATGCTCGACCTTGGTGGAGGAAGGGGCATCCACCATTACTGAGGCTTGAGTAGGCAGTTTTCCCCTCAGTGTAAAACAAAGCCACTGGGAAGTTCAAACTGGGCAGAGCCCACTACAGCTTGGCAAAGCCACTATAGCCAGACTGCCTCTCTAGATTCCTCCTCTCTGGGCAGGGCATCTCAGAGGCAGCAGCCCCAGTCAGGGGCTCATAGATAAAACTCCCATCTCTCTGGAGACAGAGAACCTGGGAAAAGGGGCTGCTATAGGTGCAGTTTCAGCAGACTTGAAAGTTCCTGCCTGCCGGCTCTGAAGCGAGCAGATCTCCCAGCACAGTGCTTGAGCTCTACTAAGGGTCAGACTGCCTCAAATGGGTCCCTGACTCCCATGCCTCCTGACTGGGAGACACCTCCCAGCAGAGGCCAACAGACACCTCATACAGGAGAGCTCTGGCTGCCATCTGGCAGGTGCCCCTTTGGGATGAAGCTTCCAGAGGAAGGAACAGGCAGCAATCTTCACTGTTCTGCAGCCTCTGCTGGTGATACCCAGGCAAACAGGGTCTGCAGTAGACCTCCAGCAGACCTGCAGCAGAGGGCCCTGACTGTTAGAAGGAAAACTGAAACAGAAAGGAATAGCATCAACATCAACAAAAAGGACGTCCACACAAAAACCCCATCCAAAAGTCACCAGCATTAAAGACCAAAGATAGATAAATCCACAAAGATGAGAAAAAAAACACAGCAAAAAGGCTGAAAATTCCATAAACCAAAACACCTTTTCTCCTCCAAAGGAGCACAACTCCACACCAGCAAGTGAACAAAACTGGACAGAGAATGAGTTTGACGAATTGACAGAAGTAGTCTTCAGAAGGTGGCTAATAGCAAACTCCTCCAAGCAAAAGGAACACGTTCTAACCCAATTCAAGGAGGCTGAGAACCTTGAAAAAAGGTTAGAGGAATTGCTAACTAGAACAAACGTTTAGAGAAGATCATAAATGACCTCATGGAGTTGAAAAACATAGCATGAGAACTTCGTGAAACATACACAAGTATCAATAGCTGAATTGATCAAGCAGAAGAAAGGATATCAGATTGAAGATCAACTTAATGAAATAAAGTGTGAAGACAAGATTAGAGAAAAAAAGAATGAAAAGGAACAAAGCCTCCAAGAAATAGGGGATTATGTGAAAAGACCAAACCTACATTAGATTGGTGTACCTGAAAGTGACAGGCAGAATGGAAACAAGTTGGAAAACATCCTTCAGGATATTATCCAGAAGAGTCCCCAACCTAGCAAGACAGGCCAACATTCAAATTTAGGAAATACACAGAACACCACAAAGATACTCCCTCGAGAAGAACAACCCTGAGACATAATCGTCAGATTCACCAAGGTTGAAACAAAGGAAAAAAAGTTAAGGGCAGCCATAGAGAAAGGCCGTGTTACCCACAAAGGGAAGCCCATCAGACTAACAGCTGATCTCTCTGCAGAAACCCTACAAGCCAGAAGAGAGTGGGGGCCAATATTCAACATTCTTAAAGAGTTTTCAACCCAGAATTTCATATCCAGCCAAACTAAACTTCATAAGTGAAGGAGAAATAAAATTGTTTACAGAGAAGCAAATGCTGAGAGATTTTGTCACTGCCAGGCCTACCTTACAAAAGCTCCTGAAGGAAGCACTAAATATGGAAAGGAAAAACCAGTACAAGCCACTGCAAAAACATACCAGATTGTAAAGACCACCAATAGTATGAAGAAACTGCATCAACTAATGGGGAAAATAATGGGCTAGCATCATAATGACAGGATCAAATTCACACATAACAATATTAACCCTAAATGTAAACAGGCTAAATGCCCCAATTGAAAGACAGAGACTGGCAAATTGGATAAAGAGTCAGACATATCAGTGTGCTGTAATCAGGAGACCCATCTCAAGTGCAAAGACATATATAGGCTCAAAATAAAAGAGACGGAAGAATATTTACCAAGCGAATGGAAAGAAAAAAAAAAAGCAGGGGTTGCCATCATAGCCTCTGATAAAAGAGACTTTAAACCAATAAAAATCAAAAAAGAGACAAATAAGGGTATTACATAGTGGTAAAGGGATCAATGCAACAAGAACTAACTATCCTAAATATATATGCACCCAATACAGGAGCACCCAGATTCATAAAAGAAGTTCTTAGAGACCTTCAAAGAGACTTAGACTCACACACAATAATAGTGGGAGACTTTAACACCCCACTGTCAATATTAAACAGATCAACAAGAGAGAAAATTAACAAGGATATTCAGGACTTTGAACTCAGCTCTGGACCAAGCAGACCTAATAGACATCTACAGAACTCTCTACCCCAAATCAACAGAATATACATTCTTCTTAGTACCACATCATACTTATTCTAAAATTGACCACATAATTGGAAATAAAAGACTCCTCAGCAAATGTACAGGAATGGAAATCATAACAGTCTCTCAGACCACAGTGCAATCAAATTAGAACTCAGGATTAGGAAACTCCCTCAAAGCCACACAACTACATGGAAACTAAACAACCTGCTCCTGAATGACTACTGGGTAAATAACGAAATTAGGGCAGAAATAAATAAGTTCTTTGAAACCAATGAGAACGAAGACACAATGTACCAGAATCTCTGGGACACAGCTAAAGCAATCTTTAGAGGCAAATTTATAGCACTAAATGACCACAGAAGAAAGCAGGAAAGATCTAAAATTGACACCCTAACATCACAATTCAAAGAATTAGAGAAGAAGAAACAAATTTAAAAGCTAGCAGAAGACAAGAAATAAGATCAGAACAGAACTGAAGGAGACAGAGACATAAAAACCACACACACCCCCAACCCCGCCAAAAAAAAAAAAAACAAACACACACACACACACACACACAGAAAAAACAAAAACAAACAAAAAACAATGAATCCAGGAGCTGGTTTTTTGAAAAGATCAACAAATATACAACTAGCCAGACTAATAAAGAATCAAATAGATACAATAAAAAATGATAAAGGAGATATCACCATTGATCCCACAGAAATATAAACTACTATCAGAGAATACTATAAACACCTCTATGCAAACTAGAAAATCTAGAAGAAATGGATAAATTTCTGGACACATATACCCTCCCAAGACCAAACAAGAAAGAAGTTGAACCCATGAAGAGACCGATAATAAGTTCTGAAACTGAGGCAGTAATAGCCTACCAACCAAAAAAAAGACCAGGACAAGACAGATTCACAGCCAAATTCTACCAGAGGAACAAAGAGGAGCTGGTACCATTCCTTCTGAAACTATTCTGAGCAGTGGAGAAAGAGGGACTCCTCCCTAACTCATTTTACGATGCCAGCATCATCCTGATACCAAAACCTGGCAGAGACATGACAAAAAATTCAGGCCAATATCCCTGATGAACATCGATGCAAAAATCGTCAATAACACACTGGCAAACCAATTTCAGCAGCACATCAAAAAGCGTATCCACCACAATCAAGTCGGCTTCATCCCTGGAATACAAGACTGGTTTAACACATGCAAATCAATAAACATAATCCATCAAATAAACAACCAATGACAAAAACCACATTATTATCTCAATAGATGCAGAAAAGGCCTTCGATAAAATGCAATAGCGCTTCACGCTAAAAACTCTCAATAAACTAGGTATTGATGGAACATCTCAATAAGAGCTATTTATGACAAACCCACAGCCAATATCACACTGAATGGGCAAAAGCTGGAAGCATTCCTTTTGAAAACTGGCACAAGACAAGGATCCCCTCTCTCACCACTCCTATTCAACATAGTATTGGAAGTTCTGGCCAGGGCAATCAGGCAAGGGAAAGCAATAAAGGATATTCAAACAGGAAGAGAGGAAGTCAAATTATCTGTTTGCAACTGACACGATTGCATATTTTAAAAAGCCCATTGTCTCAGCCCAAAATCTCCTTAAGCTGATGAAACAACTTTAGCAAAGTCTCAGGACACAAAATCAATGTGCAAAAATCACAAGCATTCTTATACACCAATAAAGGCAGAGCCAAATCATGAGTGAACTCCCATTCACAATTGCTACAAAGGGAATAAAATACATAGGAATACATTTAAGAGGGATGTGAAGGACCTCTTCAAGGAGAATTACAAACCACTGCTCAAGGAAATGAGAGGACACAAACAAATGGGAAAACATTCCATGCTCATGGATAGGAAGAATTAATATCATGAACATGTCCATACTGCCCAAAGTAATTTATAGATTCAGTGCTATCCCCATCAAGCTACCAATGACTTTCTTTGCAGAATTAGAAAAAACTACTGTAAATTTCATATGGAACCTAAAAAGAGCCTGTACAGCCAAGACAATCCTAAGCAAAAAGAACAAAGCTGGAGGCATCATGCTACCTGACTTCAAACTATGCAAGGCTACAGTAACCAAAACAGCATGGTACTGGTATCAAAACATATATAGACTAAAAGAACAAGAACAGAGCCCTCAGAAATAACACCACACATCTACAACCATCTGATCTTTGACAAACCTGACAAGAACAAGCAATGCTGAAAGGAATCCCTATTTAATAAATGGTGTTGGGAAAACTGGCTATATGCAGACAACAAACCGGACCCCTTCCTTACACCTTATACAAAAATTAACTCAAGATGGATTAAAGACTTAAACGTAAGACCCAAAACCAGTAAAACTCTAGAAGAAAACCTAGGCAATACCATTCAGGAGATAGGCATGGGCAAACACTTCATGACTAAAACACCAAAAGCGATGGCAACAAAAGCCAAAATTGACAAATAAGATCCAATTAAACTAAAGAGCTTCTGCACAGCCAGAGAAACTATCAGAGTGAACAGGCAACCCTGGGAGAAAATGTTTGTAATCTATCCATCTGACAAAGGGCTAATACCCAGAATCTACAAGGAACTTAAATTTACAGACAAAAAAAAAAAAATCAAAAAGTGGGCAAAGGATATGAACAGACATTTCTCAAAAGACTACATTTATGCAGTCAAACACGAAAAAAGCTCAACATTACTCATTAGAGAAACGCAAATCAAAACCACAATGAGATACCATCTCATGCCAGTTAGAATGGCAATCATTAAAGTCAGGAAACAACAGATGCTGGAGAGAATGTGGAAAAATAAGAATTCTTTTACACTGTTGGTGAGAGTGTATTAGTTCAACCATTGTGGAAGACAGTGTGACAATTCAACAAGGATCTAGAACCAGAAATACCATTTGACCTAGCAATCCCATTACTGGGTATATACCTGAAGGATTATAAATCATTCTACTAAGACAACACATGCACACATATGTTTATTGTGGCACTATTCACAATAGCAAAGACTTGGAACCAACCCAAATGTCCATCAGTGATAGACTGGATAAAGAAAATGTGGCACATATACATCATGGAATACTATGCAGCCATAAAAAAGCATGAGTTCATGTCCTTTGTAGGGACATGGATGAAGCTGGAAACCATCATTCTGAGCAAACCATTGCAAGGACAGAAAAACCAAACACCACATGTTCTCACTCATAGGTGGGAATTGAACAATGAGAACACTTGGACACAGGGTGGGGAACATCACACACCGGGGGCCTGTTGTGGGGTGGGGGGATGGGGAAGGGATAGCATTACGAGAAATACGTAACGTAGATGGATTGATGGGTGCAGCAAACCACCATGGCATGTGTATACCTATGTAACAAACCTGCACATTCTGCACACATATCCCAGAACTTAAAGAATAAAAAAAATTGTGGTTTTTGCATTGTTGGAATTTGCTGTTTGATACTAGAATACATTCTTAAATAAATGTGATTATATTATGTATCATTTTAATGGGCATTTCTCACTTTATTTTGCTAGTGACTTATTACTTGCTGTTTATTTTATGTTTATTTTAGACTGGAAATTACATTAGACAAAAAGCAAATTCGAGTGATTTTCTTATTCGAGTTCAAAATGATTTGTAAAGCAGCAGAAACACACAACAACAAAAACACACTTAGCCCAGGAACTGCTGACTAATATACAGTGCAGTGGTCGTTCAAGAAGTTTTACAAAGACAAGAGCCTTGAAGATGATGTAGTGGCCGGCCATCGAAAGTTGACAACTACAAATTGAAAGCAATCAAAGCTGATCCTCTTACAAGAAGTTGCCAAAGAACTCAACATCGATCATTCTACAGACGTTTAGCATTTGAAGCAAATTGGAAAGGTGAAATAAGTGGTACCTCATGAGCTGAGCAAAAAATCAAAAGAACCATGAAGTTTCATTTTCTCTTATCCTATGCAACAACAATGAACCATTGCATGATTTGATTGTAACATGCAACAAAAAGTGAGTTTTATAAGACAACTGATGAGGATCAGCTCAATGGTTGGACCAAGAAGCCCCAAAGCACTTCCCAAAGCCAAATTTGTACCAAAAAAGGTCATGGTCACTGTTTGGTGATCTGCTGCTGGTCTGATCCACTACTGCTTTCTGAATCCCAGCAAAATCACATCTGAGAAGTATGCTCAGCAGATATATGAGATGCACTGAAAACTGCAATGCCTATAGCAGTCACTGGTCAACATAAATGGCCCAGTTTTTCTCCACAACGCCCAGTTGCACGTTGCACAACCAACACTTCAAAAATGGAAGGAATTGTGCTACAAAGTTTTGACTCATTCGCCATATTCACCTGACCTCTCACCAACCACCTACCACTTTTTGAAGCATCTGACAACTTTTTGCAGGGAAAATGCTTCCACAACCAGCTTGATACAGAAAATGCTTTCTGAGAGTTCATAGAATGCTGAAGCATGGATTTTTATGTTATAGGAACAAACTTATTTCTCATTGGCAAAAATGTGTTGGTCGTAATCGTTCCTATTTCGATTAACAAAGATGTGTTTAATACTAGGGAGTTTTTCTCGGTGTGGTAGTTAGAGTTGGAAGAATCAAAATAATTATGAAAACACACCATGAAATAAGTGAATAAATCAAATAATTACTAACAATGACAATTCTTAAGAAACTGAAACAGAGGGTTGAGAAGGAGACAGATAATGGGGACTGGGAAGCTACGCTGAATAGAGTGACACAGGGATGAAGACCTCACTGAGAAGATGAGACTGAAGCTAAGAACAAAATGATGAGAGAGAGGGGGTGACATGGTGCTCTAGGGAACCTCTGCTCAGACAGGTACTATTCTTGGCGTGACTCAAGTACTTTCCTAAAGGAGAACTTGACAAGGACACGGTCATATTGTTGCGGGGGGAAGGGGAGTGAGTCTCAGGAGATTCGATTTGGAGCCAATGCCTCTGCTGGACTTCTCCCGGGACGTGGGAGAAGTAAGCCAGAGACAGGAGATGAGACTTGGCAGTGTGATTTAGACTTGCGCATGCTCTTAACCATGACACCTGCTTCTGGTTCCAGAAATGTAGTGTCGCACTTAAATGTGCTCCCCTACCCGTTACACCTAAAAACAGTAAAAGTCTCTGAAATGTTGAGAAAAGAAGGCAGACTGTCTAGGGACCTAGACCCCAGGACTGAAGAGATGACTGGGCAGTAAGTCCTCTGGATCTTTTTGCCTCCTGTATATCCTGGACTGGGCACTGAGGAGGCTCATGACCTAGAAACACCAGTGGGCACAGTCAGCAAAACAAAGCAAACAAAGGTGGAGAAACAGGATGAGGTGGCTGTCTCTGGGCAGGAGAGTCAAACATGGCTAATGAAAAATGTAAGATGGTGCAGCCACATTGAAAAACAGTGAGGCAGTTTAACAAGTTAAACATACACTTATTCTAGATCCCAGAAGTTCCATTCCTAGACAACCACCCAAAAGAAAAATGTAGATTCACAGACTCCTACACAAATGTTCATTGTACCAATACTATTCATAATAGCCAAAAACTAGAAACAATCTAAATTCCGTTCACTGGTGAATAGAGAAACAGAACGCGGTACATCCATACAATGGAACAAATACTTCTCAATAAGAAGGAGCAAACTATTGGTACAGGCAAGAACAAAAATTAACCACAAATATTTTAATCAAGTAAAAGTCAAATATTTAAAAAATTATTGTTTGACTTGATTTTTATAAAATTTCTGGAAGAGGTGAAGCTTTATAGACAGAAAGTAGGTTACAGGTTACTTAGAGCTGGTGTTGGGAGGAGAGATTGCCTGCAGATGGGCACAGAGAATTTTTTTGGGGTGATGAAAGTGTTTCAAAATGAGATTGTGGTTATAGGGCCAAAAAGGGAAATCTTACCTCTTTATCCTTTGAAATTTCACTGAAAATGAATGAACAAAAAAAAAATTATGAGGAGCGAAAAGGCATATAAGTTTATTTTTATGTGTATAGAATGGAAGAATTGCAGAAGAATCATGACCTAATAACCCAGGTGAGGTCCAGGTGCTTATATACCTCACTTCATGGGAGAAGGGGAGGTGAGGAAATAGGCGGTATGGGAGTCAATGATTTTCAGGAGAGATGAATGGACCTGGGAGGCAAAGATCATCCTGTAGTCTATTTACTTTGGATGTTGGGAGCACAGAACAAATAACAATTTGGGACAAAGTTGGTTTAGGCTGTAAATGTTGGTGTTTAATTTTCAGTCTCTTCCTCTGTTACATAAGTTCTAATCCTCTTTGGTTAATGAAATTTCAGGGAGAGATTGAAAGCAATTGTGTTCCTCTTTGTGAGTCCAGTTTCTAGGTAAAGAAACTTCAGAAAAGAGCCTAATCTTGCACTTCTTGGGAGACAAAGGGAGGAAAGGTGGGAGGAGGGGAGGGGTATGGTGGGGGAGACCCTGAGCCTGCTGTCTCAGTTCAGCCTGTCAAAGCTCCCTACCTTGGGGTATCATTTTCCACTTTGTAGTATGATTTTCTGAGCCTTAACACAGGGATGATTGCAGAACTCTAGACATTTGCTAAAACTCATAGAACTGTATGTTAAAAATTGGTGAGTTTCATGATATATAAATTACACTTCAATAAAGGCGCTGGCACACAGCAGTAAGTATTGTTGTTGTTACTGTTCTGATAACCTCAGCATTTGTCTAACTTCCTGCGGCATGAAAAACAGGAATGGAGACAATTTTAGGCAGGAGGAGCTGCACAGCAGAGTTCATTTGGTCTGGGGGATGGTGGGTAGGGGTGCCCTGGGGCTGAGAGCAGGAGGATCTGCTGTCTTTAGTGGGTTCTGAGTACTCCCTACTGCTCTCTTACATGCTGGGTGTCTCCTCTTTTCCTACAGTTCACACACGTAGAACACCCAAGGCTAGGAAAGGAGAAAACTTGGGGTGCTGATGGCAGCAAGCTTTTCAGTATTAAAGGGAGCTGTGTTCTCTGAAGTTGGAGTGTCTTCAACTGTGGCTTATCCCCCCTTCAGCAAGCACAGGTCCCATGGCATAGATTCTGAGGAAGACCTTGGTGAAGAATGCGCACTCCTAGCTCAGACCAAACTCTGCAACCTTAGCAAAGCTGGATATTTGATCTGTTGCATTCTTCTGATCATGTGTTACAACCTACAAATGGTAGAGCCATTGGCACTCAAACACCTGATGTTTTTCCCTGGTGTAATCCATGCCCCAGAGACAGGAAATTCTCCCTTGGTCTTCCAGGCCACAGTTTGGGAAGGTGTTTATCCCTGGGACCAGGGGCTTCAAAATTCAGCAATAATTACTGATATGATTTGGATATTTGTGCACTCCAAATCCTATGCAGAAATGTAATCCCCAGTGCTGGAGGCAGGGCCTGGTGGGACGTGATTGGATCATGGACTGGATCACTCATGAATGGTTCAGCACCACCCCCATGTGATTAGTTCTCGCTTTGAGTTCATGGGCACCTGGCTGTGTAAAGTGTGGCACCTGCCCCCTCACTCTCTTGTTCCCACTCTTGTGGTGTGAGACACAGGCTCCCCCCTTACCTTCCGCTGTCACTGTAAGCTCCCTGTGGCCCTCCCCAGAAGCAGATGCCAGCACCATGCTTCATGTCCAGACTGCAGACCATGAGCCAATTGAACCCCTTTTCTTTATTAATTACCCAGTCTCAGGTATTCTTTCATCATGATGCAATTGCCCTATTACCATCACTCCCATATCCTAGTTTCAAGGAAGGCTGTTGTTTTAGTCCCAGCCCAAGCGAACATGTGAAAATATAGCCTCACAAAGTGAATATGGAACTCTTATTCTTATATGCCTGACTTAAAAAAATAGTGTAAAGTGAGGAGGAGCCAAGATGGCCGAATAGGAACAGCTCCGGTCTACAGCTCCCAGCGTGAGCGACGCAGAAGACGGGTGATTTCTGCATTTCCATCTGAGGTACCGGGTTCATCTCACTAGGGAGTGCCAGACAGTGGGCGCAGGCCAGTGTGTGTGCGCACCGTGCGCGAGCCGAAGCAGGGCGAGGCATTGCCTCACCTGGGAAGCGCAAGGGGTCAGGGAGTTCCCTTTCCGAGTCAAAGAAAGGGGTGACAGACGCACCTGGAAAATCGGGTCACTCCCACCCGAATATTGCGCTTTTCAGACCGGCTTAAGAAACGGCGCACCACGAGACTATATCCCACACCTGGCTCAGAGGGTCCTACGCCCACGGAATCTCGCTGATTGCTAGCACAGCAGTCTGAGATCAAACTGCAAGGCGGCAACGAGGCTGGGGGAGGGGCGCCCGCCATTGCCCAGGCTTGCTTAGGTAAACAAAGCAGCCTGGAAGCTCGAACTGGGTGGAGCCCACCACAGCTCAAGGAGGCCTGCCTGCCTCTGTAGGCTCCACCTCTGGGGGTAGGGCACAGACAAACAAAAAGACAGCAGTAACCTCTGCAGACTTAAGTGTCCCTGTCTGACAGCTTTGAAGAGAGCAGTGGTTCTCCCAGCACGCAGCTGGAGATCTGAGAACGGGCAGACTGCATCCTCAAGTGGGTCCCTGACCCCTGACCCCCGAGCAGCCTAACTGGGAGGCACCCCCCAGCAGGGGCACACTGACACCTCACACGGCAGGGTATTCCAACAGACCTGCAGCTGAGGGTCCTGTCTGTTAGAAGGAAAACTAACAACCAGAAAGGACATCTACACCGAAAACCCATCTGTACATCACCATCATCAAAGACCAAAAGTAGATAAAACCACAAAGATGGGGAAAAAACAGAACAGAAAAACTGGAAACTCTAAAACGCAGAGCGCCTCTCCTCCTCCAAAGGAACGCAGTTCCTCACCAGCAACAGAACAAAGCTGGATGGAGAATGATTTTGACGAGCTGAGAGAAGAAGGCTTCAGACGATCAAATTACTCTGAGCTACGGGAGGACATTCAAACCAAAGGCAAAGAAGTTGAAAACTTTGAAAAAAATTTAGAAGAATGTATAACTAGAATAACCAATACAGAGAAGTGCTTAAAGGAGCTGATGGAGCTGAAAACCAAGGCTCGAGAACTACGTGAAGAATGCAGAAGCCTCAGGAGCCGATGCGATCAACTGGAAGAAAGGGTATCAGCAATGGAAGATGAAATGAATGAAATGAAGCGAGAAGGGAAGTTTAGAGAAAAAAGAATAAAAAGAAATGAGCAAAGCCTCCAAGAAATATGGGACTATGTGAAAAGACCAAATCTACGTCTGATTGGTGTACCTGAAAGTGATGTGGAGAATGGAACCAAGTTGGAAAACACTCTGCAGGATATTATCCAGGAGAACTTCCCCAATCTAGCAAGGCAGGCCAACGTTCAGATTCAGGAAATACAGAGAATGCCACAAAGATACTCCTCGAGAAGAGCAACTCCAAGACACATAATTGTCAGATTCACCAAAGTTGAAATGAAGGAAAAAATGTTAAGGGCAGCCAGAGAGAAAGGTCGGGTTACCCTCAAAGGAAAGCCCATCAGACTAACAGCAGATCTCTCGGCAGAAACCCTACAAGCCAGAAGAGAGTGGGGGCCAATATTCAACATTCTTAAGGAAAAGAATTTTCAACCCAGAATTTCATATCCAGCCAAACTAAGCTTCATAAGTGAAGGAGAAATAAAATACTTTATAGACAAGCAAATGCTGAGAGATTTTGTCACCACCAGGCCTGCCCTAAAAGAGCTCCTGAAGGAAGCGCTAAACATGGAAAGGAACAACCGGTACCAGCCGCTGCAAAATCATGCCAAAATGTAAAGACCATCGAGACTAGGAAGAAACTGCATCAACTAATGAGCAAAATCACCAGCTAACATCATAATGACAGGATCAAATTCACACATAACAATATTAACTTTAAATATAAATGGACTAAATTCTGCAATTAAAAGACACAGACTGGCAAATTGGATAAAGAGTCAAGACCCATCAGTGTGCTGTATTCAGGAAACCCATCTCACGTGCAGAGACACACATAGGCTCAAAATAAAAGGATGGAGGAAGATCTACCAAGCCAATGGAAAACAAAAAAAGGCAGGGGTTGCAATCCTAGTCTCTGATAAAACAGACTTTAAACCAACAAAGATCAAAAGAGACAAAGAAGGCCATTACATATTGGTAAAGGGATCAATTCAACAAGAGGAGCTAACTATCCTAAATATTTATGCACCCAATACAGGAGCACCCAGATTCATAAAGCAAGTCCTCAGTGACCTACAAAGAGACTTAGACTCCCACACATTAATAATGGGAGACTTTAACACCCCACTGTCAACATTAGACAGCTCAACAAGACAGAAAGTCAACAAGGATACCCAGGAATTGAACTCAGCTCTGCACCAAGTGGACCTAATAGACATCTACAGAACTCTCCACCCCAAATCAACAGAATATACATTTTTTTCAGCACCACACCACACCTATTCCAAAATTGACCACATAGTTGGAAGTAAAGCTCTCCTCAGCAAATGTAAAAGAACAGAAATTATAACAAACTATCTCTCAGACCACAGTGCAATCAAACTAGAACTCAGGATTAAGAATCTCACTCAAAACTGCTCAACTACATGGAAACTGAACAACCTGCTCCTGAATGACTACTGGGTACATAACGAAATGAAGGCAGAAATAAAGATGTTCTTTGAAACCAATGAGAACAAAGACACCACATACCAGAATCTCTGGGACGCATTCAAAGCAGTGTGTAGAGGGAAATTTATAGCACTAAATGCCTACAAGAGAAAGCAGGAAAGATCCAAAATTGACACCCTAACATCACAATTAAAAGAACTAGAAAAGCAAGAGCAAACACATTCAAAAGCTAGCAGAAGGCAAGAAATAACTAAAATCAGAGCAGAACTGAAGGAAATAGAGACACAAAAAACCCTTCAAAAACTCAATGAATCCAGGAGCTGGTTTTTTGAAAGGATCAACAAAATTGATAGACCGCTAGCAAGACTAATAAAGAAAAAAAGAGAGAAGAATCAAATAGACACAATAAAAAATGATAAAGGGGATATCACCACCGATCCCACAGAAATACAAACTACCATCAGAGAATACTACAAACACCTCTACACAAATAAACTAGAAAATCTAGAAGAAATGGATACATTCCTCGACACATACACTCTCCCAAGACTAAACCAGGAAGAAGTTGAATCTCTGAATAGACCAATAACAGGCTCTGAAATTGTGGCAATAATCAATAGTTTACCAACCAAAAAGAGTCCAGGACCAGATGGATTCACAGCCGAATTCTACCAGAGGTACAAGGAGGAACTGGTACCATTCCTTCTGAAACTATTCCAATCAATAGAAAAAGAGGGAATCCTCCCTAACTCATTTTATGAGGCCAGCATCATTCTGATACCAAAGCCGGGCAGAGACACAACCAAAAAAGAGAATTTTAGACCAATATCCTTGATGAACATTGATGCAAAAATCCTCAATAAAATACTGGCAAACCAAATCCAGCAGCACATCAAAAAGCTTATCCACCATGATCAAGTGGGCTTCATCCCTGGGATGCAAGGCTGGTTCAATATACACAAATCAATAAATGTAATCCAGCATATAAACAGAGCCAAAGACAAAAACCACATGATTATCTCAATAGATGCAGAAAAAGCCTTTGACAAAATTCAACAACCCTTCATGCTAAAAACTCTCAATAAATTAGGTATTGATGGGACATATTTCAAAATAATAAGAGCTATCTATGACAAACCCACAGTCAATATCATACTGAATGGGCAAAAACTGGAAGCATTCCCTTTGAAAACTGGCACAAGACAGGGATGCCCTCTCTCACCACTCCTATTCAACATAGTGTTGGAAGTTCTGGCCAGGGCAATCAGGCAGGAGAAGGAAATAAAGGGTATTCAATTAGGAAAAGAGGAAGTCAAATTGTCCCTGTTTGCAGACGACATGATTGTTTATCTAGAAAACCCCATTGTCTCAGCCCAAAATCTCCTTAAGCTGATAAGCAACTTCAGCAAAGTCTCAGGATACAAAATCAATGTACAAAAATCACAAGCATTCTTATACACCAACAACAGACAAACAGAGAGCCAAATCATGGGTGAACTCCCATTCACAATTGCTTCAAAGAGAATAAAATACCTAGGAATCCAACTTACAAGGGATGTGAAGGACCTCTTCAAGGAGAACTACAAACCACTGCTCAAGGAAATAAAAGAGGACATAAACAAATGGAAGAACATTCCATGCTCATGGGTAGGAAGAATCAATATGGTGAAAATGGCCATACTGCCCAAGGTCATTTACAGATTCAATGCCATCCCCATCAAGCTACCAATGACTTTCT
This sequence comes from Homo sapiens, assembly GCF_000001405.40. Taxonomy (NCBI): domain Eukaryota; kingdom Metazoa; phylum Chordata; class Mammalia; order Primates; family Hominidae; genus Homo; species Homo sapiens. The sequence continues at coordinate 5,249,849 of NC_000010.11, forward strand.
TCACAGAATTGGAAAAAACTACTTTAAAGTTCATATGGAACCAAAAAAGAGCCCGCATTGCCAAGTCAATCCTAAGCCAAAAGAACAAAGCTGGAGGCATCACACTACCTGACTTCAAACTATACTACAAGGCTACAGTAACCAAAACAGCATGGTACTGGTACCAAAACAGAGATATAGATCAATGGAACAGAACAGAGCCCTCAGAAATAATGCCACATATCTACAACTATCTGATCTTTGACAAACCTGAGAAAAACAAGCAATGGGGAAAGGATTCCCTATTTAATAAATGGTGCTGGGAAAACTGGCTAGCCATATGTAGAAAGCTGAAACTGGATCCCTTCCTTACACCTTATACAAAAATCAATTCAAGATGGATTAAAGATTTAAACGTTAAACCTAAAACCATAAAAACCCTAGAAGAAAACCTAGGCATTACCATTCAGGACATAGGCGTGGGCAAGGACTTCATGTCCAAAACACCAAAAGCAATGGCAACAAAAGACAAAATTGACAAATGGGATCTAATTAAACTAAAGAGCTTCTGCACAGCAAAAGAAACTACCATCAGAGTGAACAGGCAACCTACAACATGGGAGAAAATTTTCGCAACCTACTCATCTGACAAAGGGCTAATATCCAGAATCTACAATGAACTCAAACAAATTTACAAGAAAAAAACAAACAACCCCATCAAAAAGTGGGCAAAGGACATGAACAGACACTTCTCAAAAGAAGACATTTATGCAGCCAAAAAACACATGAAGAAATGCTCATCATCACTGGCCATCAGAGAAATGCAAATCAAAACCACTATGAGATATCATCTCACACCAGTTAGAATGGCAATCATTAAAAAGTCAGGAAACAACAGGTGCTGGAGAGGATGCGGAGAAATAGGAACACTTTTACACTGTTGGTGGGACTGTAAACTAGTTCAACCATTGTGGAAGTCAGTGTGGCGATTCCTCAGGGATCTAGAACTAGAAATACCATTTGACCCAGCCATCCCATTACTGGGTATATACCCAAATGAGTATAAATCATGCTGCTATAAAGACACATGCACACGTATGTTTATTGCGGCACTATTCACAATAGCAAAGACTTGGAACCAACCCAAATGTCCAACAATGATAGACTGGATTAAGAAAATGTGGCACATATACACCATGGAATACTATGCAGCCATAAAAAATGATGAGTTCATATCCTTTGTAGGGACATGGATGAAATTGGAAACCATCATTCTCAGTAAACTATTGCAAGAACAAAAAACCAAACACCGCATATTCTCACTCATAGGTGGGAATTGAACAATGAGATCACATGGACACAGGAAGGGGAATATCACACTCTGGGGACTGTGGTGGGGTCGGGGGAGGGGGGAGGGATAGCATTGGGAGATATACCTAATGCTAGATGACACATTAGTGGGTGCAGCGCACCAGCATGGCACATGTATACATATGTAACTAACCTGCACAATGTGCACATGTACCCTAAAACTTAGAGTATAATAAAAAAAAAAAAAAAAATAGTGTAAAGTTTCCTCTTCAAAGTTTTCCTTGTGAAAGAATAAATCATAAATGTTAGAAATGATAGTTTCTTTTAAAGACTAACTTCCTTCAAGCCTCCTTGCTTTATGCTAATAACTTTGTTAAGCCCTAGGCTATACAGCTGTTAGACATGCTCACAGGCAAGTTGTACATCCTATGTCCTTGTACCTTAACCAAGATATTTGTGTTGGACGTGCTCATAGGCATGCCCCAGCTCACAGCCTATGCCCCTTTCTTATTTGGGAATATTACTTTTCTACCTATTTAAAAAAGCTTAAAATTAGCCAATCGGGTTTTAATTTAGATTGTGAGGTCTGGCTCCAGCCAGCGGAGACAGGACGGACACAGCAATAGGGACCTCATGCGTAAGGAATAGATACCCTGATGTCTCTTTATTCTATGTGTGTCCTCACCATTGTTCCATCTGCAAGGGGTACCCTTTCTGCAGAAAGTAAAAATTGCCTCACTGAGAGAACTTTTTGTCTGAATGCTGATTTTTCCTTGTGGCACAAAAGAAGAAACATTTTGCATTTCTAACACTAGGAACACTGATTTCCACGTAAAAAATACTCAGTAAATATTTCTGGAACTGAATTTCAGGTAGGATATCTAACCCCACCTATTAATCCTAACCTCTGGCAAAGGTGGCTTCAATCTTGTGAATGCTTAAGAAGCCTTAATGAGATTTAAGGAACAAATCTCAGGAACAAATAAGTTTATATTTGTTCTAGTTATCTGCCTCAGTGAACACCGTGACAATTACATAACCCAGCATTCTCGTCCCATCAGCCTGAACTACTTAAGGTGGCGGATTTCATTGATAACCTCCCAGAGGATGCAGGGCCAGGGTCATCCTGACTGACACTCCTGTCTGCTCAGTGCCCCTCCTCCTCCCTCTCCTGCTCTGCTGTAGCCCAGGAGGGCAGCCTCTTCAGCCCAGGGTACTGCCTTCTCTGCCCGCAGCCTTCCAGGTGGGCTTGGCCACTGTGAGGTGCTGCTGAGAGCAGAAAGGGAAGCCAGAGTCCAGGTGCCTTTTCTTCCCTTCTCTGGGGGACACAGCAACAGCTTCCATCCCTCCAGTCATCCTGGCTGCCTCCCTCAGGCCCTCCATGGCTGCTGCTTCTTCCAGGGACCCCGGGATCTGCCTCCAGCACTGCCTCCTCTGCTTCTCTAGCCTAGGAGGGTAGCGACTTCCTGTGTTTAAAAGCCTCTGGGTTGCTTCATTGTTCCCTACTGGCTTCCAGATACTCCCACCATCTGATGACACATCCTGTTTAAATAAGCAGCATGGATTTTTATATCCTGGTTCATGACTGATGCTGCTACCTCAAGATGTCCCTGGTCATCTCTGAACCTCCTCAGGGCTGCCACCCTGCACCTGTCCACAAGCGGCCATGTGTGAACTCCCCCCTGTGGCCACCATGCTGGCCTCCTGTGCTGCTGTGTTCTCTGTGACTAGAGCATTTGTCACTCAGCTGGGCATAGCTGTACCCTGTTGAGGAAGACCCTGCTGTTAGTCCCAGCCCTGAGGGGAGGGATGACGAATGCTTCGCTGCTCTGTTTGAGTGCAACATGGGCCTCTCAATTTCCCACTGCAAAAAAACAGTGTTGGATGCAACCTTTCATAAGGATTTAGAGATAGTTTGCAGATCACAGAAAATAAGAACAGAGCACAGAAAAACTTAAAAAAAAAAACCCCCACTGTGCCTATGCTTAGAACTCAATTTCATTCATTCCGCAAATATTTATTGAGCACTGACCACATACTAGGGAGCTTTTCTAGGTGTGGTGATTAGTGTTGGAGAAATCAGTCAATAAATATGAAAACACACCACAAAATAAGGGAATAATTCAGGCAATTGCTCTGGTCACATTTGTTCTGAAGAAACTAAAACTGAGGAGTAAGATGGAGAGACACAGTGGGGACTGGGGAGCTACTTTGATTAGAATGACACAGGGACAAAGACATCACCAAGAAGGTGAGACTGAAGCCAAAAACCAATGATGAGATAGAGGAGGTAACACGAGGCTCTGGAAAACCTCTGCACAGGTAGATACAAGCCTCTATGTGAATCCCACATTTTCCTAGAGAAGAACTTGACAAGGACATGGCCATCTTGTTGCAGGGGCAGGGAGTGAGTCTCAGGAGATCTCAATTGAGTCTGCACCTTTGCTTGGGATGCAGGACCTGGGAGAGGTAGCCCAGAGCAGCATGAAGGCCTTGGCTGAGGTGGGGCAGGCCTGGGAGTGAGGGGCAGTGAGCAGCCCCAGAACACTATGACCCTGCTGCTATGGCCTCCCTTTGCCCTGTGCAATGAATGGAATCTTTACATCCCCACCAAAGTCGTATATGAAGCCTTAACCCCCAAGGTGATGCTATTTGGTGGTGGGTCCTGTGGAGGTGATTAGGTCGTGAGGGTGGAACCCTCATGAATGGGATTAGAGCCCCTCTTAGTCCATTTATTGTTGCTATAAAGGAGGACTTGAAGCTGGGTAATTTATAGAGAAAAGAAGTTTATTCAGCTCACAGTTCTGCTGGCTGGAAGTTTCAGGACTGGGATTCTGGTGAGGGCCTCAGGCTGCTTCCAAGCGTGGAAGAAGGTGAAGGGGAGCTGGTGTGTGCAGAGATCGCGTGATGAGAACGGAAGCAGGAAGGAGGGGAGGGGCCAGTTTCTGTTTAACAACCAGCTCTTATGGGAACTAATAGACTAAGACCTTACCCCTCCCCAGAGAGGGCATTCATGTATTCATGAGGGGCCAACCCCATGACCCCAAACCTCCCATTAGACTCCACCTCCAACAATGGGGATCAAACCTCAACATGGGATTTGGAAGGGACAAACATCCACACTACACCAGTGCTTCCGATAAAAGAGCCCCCAGAGAGATCGCATGCTTGTTTCGCCACATGAGGACAGTGAGAGGACAGCTGTCTGTGACCCAGGATGCAGACCCCGCCAGACCCTGAATCTGCCCGCACCTTGATCTTGGACTTTTAGCCTCGAGATCTGTGAGATATCTCTTTTTTGTTTGTAAGACACCCAGTCTACAGTACTTTGTCATAGCAGCCTTAATGAACTAGACTCCTAATCAGAAGGTGTGGTCTTCACCAGAGTTTTCAGAGGGCATTTTGAGAATCCTGAAAGGTGATCTTTTTGGCTCCGTGCTTGTGTGGAGCGGTAAAGGAGGAGTGAGGTGTGTTTCCCTAGCGAGTCCAGAAGCATATCTCTTTGTTGCTTGACAATGGACTTTCACTTACTCGGGGAGGATTATATGGGTGTGTCTTAGTCTGTTTTCTGTTGCTGTCACAGAATTACCTGAGGCTGAGTGACTCAAAATAGGTTATTTGGCTCAGTCTTGGAGGCTTGAAAGTCCAAGTGCATAGACTAGTAGACATCTACAGAACTCTCCATGCTAAATCAGCAGAATACACATTCTTCTCAGCACCACATTGCACTTATTCCAAAATTGACTACATAGTTGGAAGTAAAGCACTCCTCAGCAAATGTGAAAAGAACAGAAATTATAACAATCTGTCTCTCAGACCACAATGTAATCAAACTAGAACTCAGGATTAAGAAATTCACTCAAAACCGCTCAACTACATGGAAACTGAACAACCTGCTCCTGAATGACTGCTGGGTACATAACGAAAAGAAGGCAGAAATAAAGATGTTCTTTAAAACCAATGAGAACAAAGACAACATACCAGAATCTCTGGGACACATTCAAAGCAGTGTGTAGAGGGAAATTTATAGCACTAAATGCCCACAAAAGAAAGCAGGAAAGATCTAAAATTGACACCCTAACATCACAATTAAAAGAACTAGAGAAGAGCAAACACATTCAAAAGCTAGCAGAAGGCAAGAAATAACTAAGATCAGAGCAGAACTGAAGGAGATAGAGACATAAAAAAACTTTCAAAAAAAAAAAAATGAATCCAGGAGCTGGTTTTTTGAAAAGATCAACAAAATTGATAGGCCACTAGCAAGACTAATGAAGAAAAGAGAAGAATCAAATAGACACAATAAAAAATGATAAAGGGGATATCACCACCGATCCCACAGAAATACAAACTACCATCAGAGAATACCATAAACAGCTCTACGCAAATAAACTAGAAAATCTAGAAGAAATGGATAAATTCCTGGACACATACACCCTCCCAAGACTAAACCTGGAAGAACTTGAATCCCTGAATAGACCAATAACAGGCTCTGAAATCGAGGCAATAATTAAGAGCCTACCAACCAAAAAAAAGTCCAGGGTGAGACAGATTCACAGCCAAATTCTACAGAGGTACAAAGAAAAGCTGGTACCATCCCTTCTGAAACTATTCCAATCAATAGGAAAAGAGGGAATCCTCCCTAACTCATTTTATGAGGCCAGCATCATCCTGATACCAAAGACTGGCAGAGACATAACAAAAAAAAAGAGAGAATTTTAGACCAATATCCCTGATGAACATCGATGCAAAAATCCTCAATAAAGTACTGGCAAACCGAATCCAGCAGCACATCAAAAAGCTTATCCACCAAGATCAATTTGGCTTCATCTCTGGGATGCAAGCCTGGCTCAACATATGCAAATCAATACGTGTAACCATCATATAAACAGAACCAAAGACAAAAACCACATGATTATCTCAATAGATGAAGAAAAGGCCTTCAACAACATTCAATGGCCCTTCATGCTAAAAACTCTCAATGAATTAGGTATTGATGGGACATATCTCAAAATAATAAGAGCTATTTATGACAAACCGACAGCCAATATCATACTCAATGGGGAAAAAACTGGAAGCATTCCCTTTGAAAACTGGCACAAGACAGGGATGCCCTCTCTCACCACTCCTATTCAACATAGTGTTGGAAGTTCTGGCCAGGGCAATTAGGCAGGAGAAAGAAATACAGGGTATTCAATTAGGAAAAGAGGAAGTCAAATTGTCCCTGTTTGCAGATGACATGATTGTATATTTAGAAAACCCCATTGTCTCAGCCCAAAATCTCCTTAAGCTGATAAGAAACTTCAGCAAAGTCTCAGGATACAAAATCAATGTGCAAAAATCACAAGCATTCCTATACACCAATAACAGACAGAGAGCCAAACCATGAATGAACTCCCATTCACAATTGCTTCAAAGAGAATAAAATAACTAGGAATCCAACTTACATGGGATGTGAAGGACCTCTTCAAGGAGAACTACAAACCACTGCTCAACAAAATAAAAGAGGACACAAACAAATGGAAGAACATTCCATGCTCATGGATAGGAAGAATCAATATCGTGAAAATGGCCACACTGCCCAAGGTAATTCAGAGATTCAATGCCATCCCCATCAAGCTACCAATGACTTTCTTCCCAGAATTGGAAAAAACTACTTTAAAGTTCATATGGGACCAAAAAAGAGCCTGCATTGCCAAGATAATCCTAAGCCAAAAGAACAAAGCTGGAGGCAACATGCTACCTGACTTCAAACTATACCACAAGGCTACAGTAACCAAACCAGCATGGTACTGGTACCAAAACAGAGATATAGATCAATGGAACAGAACAGAGCCCTCAGAAATAACACCACACACCTACAGCCATCTGATCTTTGACAAACCTGACAAAAACAAGAAATGGAGAAAGGATTCCCTATTTAATAAATGGTGCTGGGAAAACTGGCTAGCCATATGTAGAAAGCTGAAACTGGATCCCTTCCTTACACCTTATACAAAAATTAATTCAAGATGGATTAAAGACTTAAATGTTAGACCTAAAACCATAAAATCCCTAGAAGAAAACCTAGGCAATACCATTCAGGACATAGGCATGGGCAAGGACTTCATATCTAAAACACCAAAAGCAATGGCAACAAAAGCCAAAATTGACAAATGGGATCTAATTAAAGAGCCTCTGCACAGCAAAACTACCTATCATCAGAGTAAACAGGCAACCTACAAAATGGGAGAAAATTTTTGCAATCTACCCATCTGACAAAGGGCTAATATCCAGAATCTACAAAGAGCTTAAATTTATAAGAAAAAAAAATCATACAACCCCATCAAGAAGTGGGTGAAGGATATGAACAGACGCTTTTCAAAAGACAACATTTATGGAGCCAACAGACACATGAAAAAATGCTCATCATCACTGGCCATCAGAGAAATGCAAATCAAAACCACAGTGAGATGCCATCTCACACCAGTTAGAATGGCAATCATTAAAAAGTCAGGAAACAACAGGTGCTGGAGAGGATGTGGAGAAATAGGAACACTTTTACATTATTGGTGGGACTGTAAACTAGTTCAACCATTGTGGAAGACAGTGTGGTGATTCCTCAAGGATCTAAAACTAGAAATACCATTTGACCCAGCCATCCCATTGCTGGGTATATACCCAAAGGATTATAAATCGTGCTGCTATAAAGACACATGCACATATATGTTTATTGTGGCACTATTCACCATAGCAAAGACTTGAAACCAACCCAAATGTCCATCAATGATAGATTGGATTAAGAAAATGTGGCACATATACCCCATGGAATACTATGCAGCCATAAAAAAGGATAAGTTCATGTCCTTTGTAGGGACATGGATGAAGCTGGAAATCATCATTCATGAGCAAACTATCACAAGGACAGAAAACCAAACACATGTTCTCACTCATAGGTGGGAATTGAACAACGAGAACACTTGGACACAGGGTGTGGAACACCACACACTGGGGCCTGTCGTGGGGTGGGCAGAGTGGGGAGGGATAGCATTAGGAGATAGACCTAATGTAAATGACGAGTTAATGGGTGCAGCACACCAACATGGCACATGTATACATATGCAACAAACCTGCACATTGTGCACATGTACCCTAGAACTTAAAGTATAATAAAAAAAAGATATTCAGATTTAAAGAAAAGTTGAAAGAGTAGACCAATGAATACTTATTGTTAGACTATTATCACATTTAATACTTTTCCTTGTTTTCATTGAAACAATAAAAATAAGTGCAGACATCTTGAGTTTCCTCAGCCTGCATCTCCTATGGATAAGGACACTTTCCTGCATAACCACAACACTATTGTCACACCTTAGAAAGCTAACAATTTCCTAATATTGTCTAATAAACAACCCATGTTCCATGTTCAGATTTCCCCAGTCTTCCCCAAAATGTCCTTTTAGCTTTTAAAAAAGAATCAACTCAGAATCCAACCAAGGTTCATGAATTGGTTGTGTCTCTTTTGGCCTTTTAAATCTAGAATAATCCCTCCTTTTGGGGTGTATATGTTTCATGTCATTGACCTTTTTGAAGGATCTAGGACAGTTGTCTTGTAGAATGCTTCACAATCAGCATTTGCCTGTTTCCTTGTTTGCTTTCTATTTTGGGGGTTTTTTTCAGTGAACATTTTGAAATATACATACAGAAATGTGCTTAAGTTATAAATGTGTGGGTTTGTGAAAGTTTACTTTTCAGCCTCTGGGATTTTAAACTTTTGGCTACTTTGCAAACCCTTATCTCTGCACTTCTTTCTCCATTGCCTGTAGAGAACACCTATTGCCATGACAATTGCATGGCACTTTCCTACAGATCAGAGTGCTAAGGCTGGGCAGCATCCAATTTAGGCAGTTCCATTGTACTTATCTCAGATCCCCCACTGGGGTTTCAGTTAAAGAAGTTATTGTTCAGTTCCCCTTCTAAAAATGTTGCATTATATAATTATCCTGGCCTAGGAGATTTGGGTTTTTATACCATGTGAATGAATTGGCTATCAGGAAAGTCATTTTAAAGCTTTTGGTGATCTAATTCAATTGTTAAAACTGCTTTAATAACTAGGTTGTAGAAGACACAATATAGCAGGTCCTTGAGTAATGTTTTGCTCAATGTCTTTTTGTTACAATGTTGATGAGGAAAAAAAAAATCAATTCCTGGCTGGGGCCACTGTCAGTGGAGTTCACACTTTCTCCCCATGCCAGCGTGGGTTTTCTCTGGATGCTGCGGTTTGCTCCCACATTCCAAGGATGTGCACGTGAGGTTAATTGGTCCCATTCTGAGTGACTGTGGGCATAGATTATGAGTGCACCCTGCCATGGGATGGTGTCCTGTCCAGGTGTGCTTCCTACCTTGTGCCCTGAGCTGTTGGGATAGGTTCTGGCCACCCTTGGTCCTGAACTGTAATGAGCAGGTTGGAAAAGGAACAAATGAATAAATGCAAATTATTGTAAAATAAAAGTTTGTAAGGTCTACAATAATCCTACAAATGCATGACAATAAACGATATGGTATGAAAGTGCAAAAAAGAAAAAAACATTTCTGATAACCCTGAGTTGCCTTTTCCTCACGAATTGCAGAGTCTTTACTGAACTTTGTTTTGTTTGGTTAAATTCCCTATCAGAGTTTAAGCTGTATCCAGCTCCTCATAGTTTTCCTGTAAATAACTTTCTTCCCTTCCAGCAAAATGTTTTAAAACAAATACTGCCTTTTCTCAGTTGATACTTTTACATGGAAGGGCTCAAACATCCTTTATTTTTCTGGAACGTAACTCACTTGGTGCAGGAAAGAAGAAATTCATTATCCCCTCATCATCCCACCTGGTGGTTCCTTCTAGAGAAAACCTGCCAGGATTTTCTTCAATGCAGGTAGAAGAGTGACTTGAGAGTTGAGATTTGCTGAGAGGAGAGCAAATCTTGCTCAGTTCTTTAAGGTCTCAGTTACCCATGTTTCGCCGCATAGGTTAGCAGCTGTTACTGTTTAGTTTGGCTTTCATGAGATACAAAACAGGGAGCGAGTGAGATGGAGAAACAGTCCACCAATATTCAGAAACATGGAAAACTGGGCAGCAAAGGTGCTCAAAGAAATAAAGTATTATGATACAGATCAAGAAATATCACAAAGAACTAGCTCATACTCCAGGGAAGATCTGGGATATCGACTTCTGTAGATCTGTGAGATTTCATGCGTCTCATCACTTTCCAGCTCCCTTGGCTTTATCTAACTTGTTCCCTTCAACTAAACAAACAAAACTACAAACACAGAACATGTGAACCTTGCATTTCCTTTAGGACACAATGGGATAAGAAAAATAAACTACAAAAGTTTCATTCTCTGAGAATACTCAGGTGAAAAAGAAAGGAGAATTAAAATAAATGTAAATGAACAGGTTAATATCTCTACTCTTGTAGCTATAAAGATGGTATCAAGTTACGAGTAAGAAACCCATTGTGCTGGGCCCCTATTAACCTATAGGGCTTATTTAGGGGTTACTTACAGGGCGATCCACTGTCAGCAGGCTGGATAGGAGAACTGTAATCGCTTGCAAAAAAGCTTGCAGTTTATATAACACCATCACTTAACTCCCTCCCACCAGCGACCTCCATGTAGCAACCCTCATTTCTTAGGATAAGTTATTGCTGTCATGTGCGCCTGTCTTACAAGGTATGCCTAAGTTATTGTTGTCAGGTGAGTCTACCCTGCAGGTTATGCCTAAGTTATTGCTGCCAGGTGAGTCTACCTTACACGGTATGCCTACATTATTGCTGACAGGTGCATCTGCCCTACAGGTTATGCCTAGGTTATTGTTGTCAGGTGTGTCTACCTTACAGATTATGCTTACGTTATTGCTGCCAGGTGTGTCTCCCCTACAGAGTATGCCTAAGTTATTGTTGTCAGGTGAGTCTGCCTTACAGGGTATGCCTACATTATTGCTGACAGGTGCATCTGCCTTGCAGGGTATGCCTAAGTTATTTCTGTCAGGTGTGTCTACCTTACGGGTTATGCCTAAGTTATTGCTGAGAGGTGTGTCTACCCTACAGGGTATGCCTAAGTTATTTCTGTCAGGTATGCCTACCACGCAGCACCAAAGACAATGGAACCAATCCAGGGAGAGAAATGGATCAGGCCTCTGATTCATGAAAAGCAATGCAAAGAGAAGATGCCAAGACAGCAACTCTGGCAGCAAATTCAAAAGACAGGAGAGGTTGCTCAAGTATGAGCTGCATGAGGATTCAGGACAGGGTTCTTCACAATCTTCTGCTTTGCAAACGTTCCCCTGACCAACAATTGATGACTTTAGGAAACTGACACTGGTGTGTGGGTGTCGTGGTGGTGATGAGAATGACCAATGCTTGGGTTCCTAAATCTGAGAGTCAGAAACAGAACCAGATGACCAACCAGGGTTTGAAAGGAATTTGGGCCAGGCAGGTAAAAAGACCACAGGAAACATTAAGAACAGAAAAATAGTCCTAGCTTTCACACCACAGCAAGCACAATGGAGAAATCTGGAAGTGGCATCCATATCAGAAAAGGCTCCCTGAAACCATACAGTGCAGACACAGGGAGAAAAGGGGACAGAGGAACAACACAAGCTCCGTGGGGCAGCTGCCCCCTGGTGTCCCTGGTGTATCACAGGCATTTGGATTAGGATGCACAGTACGTGGTGCATGAAGATTGTTGCCCAAAGGAATGAATGTCCATCTGGAAGAGGAGGGTTCTTACCCCGGCAGCTCCCCTGGGGAGCTTTCAAGAAATGCAAATGCCTGGGCCTCACCCTGGGAGACGCTGAATGAGGAAGCCAGAGGTAGGCTTTTTTTTTGAGACAGAGTCGTGCTCTGTCACCCAGGCTGCAGTGCAGTGGCAGGATCTCGGCTCACTGCAAGCTCCGCCTCCCGGGTTCAGGCCATTCTCCTGCCTCAGCCTCTCAAGTAGCTGGGACGACAGGCGCCCGCCACCACGGTCGGCTAATTTTTTGTGTTTTTTAGTAGAGACGGGGTTTCACCATGTTAGCCAGGATGGTCTCGATCTCCTGACCAAGTGATCCACCCGCCTCGGCCTCCCAAAGTGCTGGGATTACAGGCATGAGCCACCATGCCTGGCCGTAGGGTCTTTATTTTTAAACAAAACCAATAAAAAGCTGAAGGAAACCAAAGTATTTCAGCCTAATATGGGTCTTTCTTTGACATATTTTGAGGTGGCTTTTCAGAGGGACTGCCAACAGAAACAGCCCTGGAAAGCTGGCTTTGGCATGGGAGAGTTGCATCTGGATAGAATCTGCCTCGATGCAGCCTGGCTTCCTCAGAGGCCCTCCCTTAGAGCTAGGGATGATTAACTGAGAGTCTGATACCTTTAAAGACCTGAAACCTTCACGTCTTCTCTCTGAGGGCTGCTCCCTATGAGGTTTCAGCTACACAACAAGACCACCTTTGCTAGGCAGGCTTCCTCTTCTCTCCCTCTCATAACTTATTTGCCCACCATAGCATGTTTTGTGCCATGCTCTCCACTCCATTCTTTTGGTAACCTCAAGATACTACATAAACTTCTGAACCCAGGTGAGGGAGGGGTTGGGTTAATCACCCTGATTCTGTCCTTTGCACACTAATACCTTTGTATGCCTGTTCTCTTATTAATCTGCCTTTTGCCAGTTAATTTTCCAGTAATACTTTTTCAGAGGCAAAGGGGATGGTTTCCCTCCGTCCCTACAAAACCAACAAACACAAAAATGTGTGCTATTTTGACCTGTTGCCAGGGTTTCAACCTTGCATTAGAGTTTCAGTAAACCTGTTTTTTCTTTTCTAGGATTCTTAGTCCCTGTACTTGTGCTAACTTCAAGTTCCTTCGGTGGATTTTAGTTCATCTCAGCTGTGCTGAAGGAGAAACAAGGCCACACAGTCTTGTCACCTCTGCTCTGGGTGTGAGGACAGCATGGAGATCATCAGGTCAACGCAAGTAAGATGAGGACTTGGGCCAGGAAGCAGAGAGAATGCTGGGCCGCTGTCCTTTTCTTCATGGGATGGTGTTTAGACAACATTCTCTGGTGACAAGGACTCTCTTCTTGCCCAAACCCTAGTCAGGCTCCTCTGGGCTCCTTTTTCAGTGAGGCCCCATTTTGGGGTGTGTCCCAAGACCCCAGTTTTAGCAAGAATCCTGTTACCTCAATTCAGCCAGAATCCCCCACCCTTGATGTCTATCAATCACCCTCAGCTTCAATATCTGGCCAGGTTCTTTGTCCCTCACCATCCCCAAGGAATTTGTGGCCACCCTGAGCTGCCTTCTACAGGAATCCTGTTAGGTTGGTTGAGTCAGAATGCCCCTTACCCTGGGCACTTTGTCCTAGTGATCCTCCATCTCCTGCCCCCACCCTGCTTCTTGGCTTTCCTTTAGTTGCACACTCCTGTTTTCAACAGTCATGCCCAGAATTTTAGCCAAGAAAAATTAGAATTCGGACCAAACTGTAGAAAATAATAAAAATTTAAAAACATTAAGCAAGACTAGAACCTAACAACAGGTGTACTATAGTTTTTGAAACATAATTTTTTCTCTCTCCAATTTCCCATTTTTACTAAAGACAAATCATGGTAGGACTGATTTGCTTTATTATACTTGGCCTGATTATTTGTATACAGTACAGCAAGAATAATTATTTTTTTACATAGGCTTTTAAATTGGCTTTGATGGAACTTTGTTCCACAGAAGGAATCTCAGATAATATTTTTTTGAAGTGAAACCCAGCCATGGATTTGTACCATCAAACACCTATGCGTGGGTGAATTTCTCTCCTCTTGAGATCCCAAGATAAACTTGGGGCTCCTGGACCTGTCAGAAAGTTACATTTTTTACTTACCACAGATCAGGAACCCTGTACAGGCACTGCGTAGACAAAGTATGAGGCCAGTTTTCCCAAGGGGCTTTTATTGTCTCCATAAGTCAAGTTTGATTCCTGAAAGAAAGCACAGCGTGCCAGTCAAAGCCTTGGTAAAATAACCAGTTTCTCCAATTGTGTCCTGTTTCAAATAAAAACATATTCTTATTGCACTTATGCAAATAACTGTATTGCCATAAGTTAAGAATACTAATAAATAGTTTCCAAATTCTGGAGAAATCAGGTAGAGAGAAAGAAATAAGCTCCAAATTTTGTTCACGGGAGTATACTAAATTGTTAAAAGCTGCCAATAGCTCAAAAGAAAAGCTTCCTTGACTCTGAAAAATACAGAACAAAGGATCAGCAATGTTTTAAGCAAAAAGTCAAAAAGATTACTTCAGTCTTCTATTAGTTCAGTTCATGCAGCTAATTCCTGCTCTGCTTGATATTCATGAACATTTCAGCTCTCCATGAGTTTTCAAAGTTTTTCCTCTATTCTGATGTCACAGTCTTCAAAGTTATCAGAAACCTGCATTCAAGAGCACCTGTTAGAGTATTATAGTTCTATAAACCACCTTCTAAAGAGGAGCAAAACAAGAAACAATTGTCTGTGGATGACAAAAAGTTTTAGAGCAGCCATAGTCAAAAACACAATTGACAGGGAAATTTGTTACCTCTGTGGCACACCATAATTTAACATGACAATGATTATTACTGATAATGTATACTAAGTTATATCAGAGTTATATGAGTTTCCCATAATTTTGGAACACATGCCAATTACATATTTATACAAATACAGCCCAAAGATAACCAAACACCATTTCATGTTTGACAATACTTCCTGTATAATTTTTACACCAAGTGAGCCAAATTTCATTTTTAGATTTTAGGGAACCTAATATCTTAAAGGATTAATTAGGTCTGAAAAAGAAATAATTTATAATTTGATTTGGAAAGTTTGTCAAATATCAATGGTTTAAAACACTTGATATTACAGGTCATTGTAAAATAAGTCATTCATTTAACCAAAGTGATAACACAAGGATTCCAAAAAAAGGCAAAAACCTTTTTTCTTTGAGAGAGAAGACTTAATTTTCCAAACTATAAGCCCTAATAAAAACAGTGTGATACCAATTAAATCTGTTTTTCAAAATTTTATTAACAATTTATGAACTTTTAATCTTGACAATAGGATATAACTTTCTTAAGCCTTTTATAACCTTTATAACCTTTATTAAGGAGTCAGTTAATGCTTCACTAAAACCTTGTTAATCTGTCACAGGGGGCCATATTCTTGTCTTGCATCAGTGTGCCTTTGACATTAATGATTAATTTACAGAGAAATTGAACTTATTTTGTCTCTCAAAATTGGCCCTTTCAATCTCACACACCCACCTCTTCCACAATAGTCCTGGGGCCTTGAGGAGTTGAATAGCTTTTATTTCTGGCCCTATGTCTCAGGAATGCAATTTATTTTGATTGGCATCTTCTACTGCGCCTGAAGATGAGGCTTTAATTGTTGTCAGTGTTTAAGATGTAGCAGGACTTGGTGTCCTTTATAGATCCAGGAGTCAAAGCCCTGTAACTCAATGTCACAAGGA
The DNA here is from genome assembly GCF_000001405.40 of Homo sapiens. Classification (NCBI taxonomy): domain Eukaryota; kingdom Metazoa; phylum Chordata; class Mammalia; order Primates; family Hominidae; genus Homo; species Homo sapiens. Next base: position 5,265,632 of record NC_000010.11, read on the forward strand.
CTTTAAAAGCACATACAGAAAGATATACAGATGTAATAACCTTACTTTTTTAAAAATTTGTTCTAATCTCAGTTTTTTTTACATTCTAAGCAAACCAAAACTTAATGATAATGGCATAGGAATTCTCTCAATAAACTGTAAAATCTCTTAGGCCATTTACCAAAAGGCAAAAGAAAAGACTTTCTGCACTGCACGGAATATTATGCTGGAAGAAAAAATCTCCTTTAGACTTTGAAGAAAAATTGTTGAGTAGACTCCAGAGGACATGAAAGCCATTGATGTCCTCAACAGAAATTTCCAATATGCTAAGTTACAATTGTAAGTGATGCCTGCAGATTCTTTCACAGGCTGTTTCTGTAGTATGCAGACAAACAGAGGAATAAATCTTCCCTAAATCAGAGGGACAGGCCTAATTTCAGGAATAGGCATGAAACAGGAGCTTCCCTGTAGCCCTCAGACCAGAGGTTTCCTCCAGGGCTCAATCTCTGACCCAACAGGAATATGAGTTCCTAACTGAAACTGCCAATGTTTGCACCATTGTAAATCCACTTCTTTGATGCCCTCACTAATTATTAAAATAACATGCAAATTATAGAAAATTTAGAAAATACAAGGGAAAAGAGAATGTCACTGACAGTTTCTACAGGGTCAATGAAGGGGGTCGAATGCAGAAGTAAAGACAAAGACGAAAAGACCTATTTTGAAAGAGGGGGTCAGGGGCTCCTTGCTTCTAGAGAGCAAAGGCAGCCCTGAGTTTCTACAGTCTTTCATATTTGTTAGGTAGAAAGAGCAGGGAGGGAGAGCTAATGGTTGGTCCACTGCTTGATTTATCACAGGTCCACATAATTGCTTTCTTTGTACAACAGGCTTCAGATGTTCCTATAGATAATCACAAGGAACACTGTGCATGAGGCCTGACTGCCCTCAGCACCCCTTCTGGCGGCAGACACAGTTATCAGTTTTCCAACATCCTGCTTTCATAAGAACAGTTTTCTGTTTGCTCATATAGCCTCCAGTGGTATACTGAGTTGGTCACAACTCTCATTCTTTCAGCCTGTAACAAGAGAACAAAAATAAGCTGTAATATTCCCATTGAAAAATACTTAATGTGTATCCACCTACATGATTTTCCTATACAAATGTGTATGTTTGGAGTTTTTAGGACTTTTAAAAAATTATTTTTTTAACTTTTATGTTCAGGGATACATGTGCAGGTTTGTTATATAGGTATGCTTATTACCTGGGTGACTAAATAATTTGTACATCTCCTGCCATGACATGAAATTTACTCATGAAACAAACCTGCACATATACCCCTGAACTTAAAATAAAAGTTGGAAAGAAAAAGATGAAAAAGAATGGTTCAAATATGATGAAAGACATGAATCTACAAATACAAGAAACTTGAAGATCTGCAGAGAGAATACACTGAAAAAGACCCAGACCCACATACATTATAATCAAACTCTCAAAAGCCAAAGACAAGGAGATCATTTGAAAAGCCGCAAGAGAAACATAACTCATGAGGTACAAGGAATTCTGGATGAAGTTATCAGGAGATTTCTTATCAGACACCTTGGAGGGCATATGAGATTATATATATTTTTTAATTGGTAAAAGAAAAAAGAAAACTTGCCAACCAAGAATTCTGTATCTGACAAAAATGACCTTCAGAAATTGGGAAGTTATAAAGACAATGTGATATAAACAAAAGCTGACAGAGCTCATTGCCACTAGAACTACTCTACACGAAATGCTTAAGGGAGTAATTCACTATGAAATAAAAGAATGTTAGATTAGATGGTTATGTAAAGTCGTATCAAGTATAAAGACCTCTCATCAAGGTAAATATGGGACAAAATACAAAAACATGTATTTTTGAAAGTTTTGTTTATACTAGCTTTCTGTTCAAGTTTTAAAATTTGGCTGAGTGCAGTGGCTCATGCCTGTAATTCCAGCACTTTGGGAGGCCAAGGCAGGTGTATCATGAGGTCAGGAGATCAAGACCGTCCTGGCTAACATGGTGAAACCCCATCTCTACTAAAAAGTATAAAAAATTAGCCAGGCATGGTGGTAGGCGCCTGTAGTCCCAGCTACTTGGGAGGCTGAGGCAGGAGAAGGGCATGAGCCTGGGAGGCGGAGCTTGTAGTGAGCCAAGATTGTGCCACTGCACACCAGCCTGGGCAACAGAGCAAGACTCTGTCTCAAAAAAAAAAAAAAATTTAAAATTCAAATGTGTACAAATAACTATAAATCTATGTTAACATGTACACAATGTATGAGGTTGTAATTAGTGACATCAGTAATGTGAAGTTGAGAGAAACACAGATGTGGAAAAGGGGAATTTATGTACAGAATTAAATGTGTATTGATTTCAAAGGAGATTTTATAACTCTAGGATGTTTTATGTCATTTTCATGGTAACCACAAAGAAAACAATTATAGAATATACACAAGTGAAAATGAGAGGGAAATCCAAGTGTCCCTAAAAATCAATCAGTGACACACACAAAAAAATGTTAGTAATGGAGGATATGAAGAACAAAATGCTATAGACATACAGGAAAAGAAAAATATTAAAATGCAAAATTAAGTTGCTGTCACTAATTATAGTTATCTGTCATTTAATGATAAGAATACATTCTGAGAAATGCATTTTTAGGCAATTCAAGCATCATGTGAACACCATAGAGTGAACTTACATGAATCTAAATGGTATATTCTACTATAGGCTTTCTGGTCTAGACCATTGCCTGTAGGCTATAAACAGTAGAGTGCAGCATGTTCCTCTACTGAATACTATAAGGCAATTGTAACACAATGGTATTTGTGTACATAAACATATAAAAGGAGCAGTAATAGGTTTTGTAATCTTATAAATCCACTGTTGTATATATGGTCAATCATTGACCAAAATGTTGTTATGCAGCACATGAATATACTTTAAATGTAAATGGATTAAACCCCCACACCAAAAGGCAGATCAATTTGCAAAATGGATTAAAAGAAACAAGATCCAACTATATACTCAGCACTAGAAACTCAGTTTGCATCTATAGATGTGACTAGTATGAAAGTGAAAGACAGAAACAGATATTCTATAAAAACAGTGACAAAAAAGAGCTGTGGTGGCTATACTAGGACCAGGAAAAATAAAATTTAGTCAAAAACTGTGATAAGATATAGACAACATATTATATACAAGCATATCTCAGAGATATTGCAAGTTCAATTCTAGACTACTGCAATGCAGCAAATATGACAATAAAATGAGTCACACAAATATTTAGATTTCCCAGTACATATAAAGTTATGTTTACACTATACTGTCATATATTTAGTGTGCAATAGCATTACAGCTAAAGAAAAAAATATGCATGCATTTGTTAAAAATATTTTATTTCTGAGAAATGCCAATAGTCATCTGAACCTTCAGCAGGTCATAATCTTGTTGATAGTGGAGGTTTTAGATATGATGTCGATGCCTCCTGACTGACCAGGGTGGTGGTTACTAACGGGTGAGGTGGCTGTGGTCATTTATTTAAAATAAAATAAAATAAAATAAAGTTTGCTGCATTGATTGAGTCTTTCATGTGAGATTTCCTCTTTCATTTACACACACACACACACACACACACACACACACACACTATATGTTTTGTTTCTTGGGACAACCCTGACTAATATAGATTTTGGTATCTGGAGCAGTTCTAGAGGAATAGAATTTTGAGTTTCCTGAATTGGTTTTGGGGTTTCTGGCATTGTCAGTCTAATCAGATTAGACTTGAAAATGCGAAGGACTTTATTTCCAATAATGAAGAGAGCACTGATAGTCCATGATATGAAGTATTTATAGAGTGCACAAAACATCTGCATTGATACTCTACTTAACAACTTAAAAGAGGCAAAAAAAATAGTGACTCTGTATGTGATACTTTCAAACATTTGTGGAAAACTAAGAATAGAATGATGTTGGTTAGTTGCACCTCATATTGCTGGAAAGAGGAAGAAAAAAAAGGGTGAGCTCAGGAATTCAAAATCCTGGATTAAGCACACATGACCTAAGAGCTTCTAGGTGTGCGCTGAGTGAGAATCCTATGTCTTACAGCCACAGGGCTGAAATTGCTGAAAATCAAATGCAAGTGACACCAAAAGCACAGTCAACAGAGGAAAACATAGATGAATGAGACTTCATAAATTAAAACATTTTTGCATCAAAAGAGACTACTAAGCATCAGAAAGCAACCTATAGAATGGGATAAAAATATTTAGTTGCAAGTCATATTTCTGATGAAGCTGAATACCATGAAATTTCCTGGCAGATGCCCAGCACTCTCAACTTCATCCCAAGCTGCCTTTACTCAGCTGCCAAGACACTTCTTGGTGTCTTCAGACTTCTGTGTGAAGTTTCTCCAGAGTTAAACCCTGCATGTACCCCTAACTTGATGTAAAATTTGGATTATGATATCTTCTGATTGTACACAGATCAGACTTCCTGTTCTATCATGATTTCCCTTCTCTCCTGAATTCAGAATATTTTCTGACAGTCTTTGGATTTATACTTTGATCTAATCCTGGTGACTCCCAACTAGACTAATTGGAAATGCTACAACTGGTGAAAATTTTGTTTCCAATGTCCTTGTTATAGGAACAGAACTATGTTGCTTCATTCGCATCACGCCAGGCAATTCAGTATATTCTCTCAACGATATTCAAAAGTAAACTCTGTTTCTCTTCTCTGTGTGTGTGTGTGGATTGGTTTGGTTTTATGAGAAGGAGTCGTCCAGGCTGGAGTGCAGTGGTGCCATCATAGCTTACGTAGTCTCAGCCACCTGGATTCAGGTGATCCTTCCACCTCAGCCTCCCTATTAGCTGGAACCACAGGCGCATGCCACCTCGCCCGACTAATTATTTTATTATTTGTAGAGACAACGTCTGTGGCCCAGGCTGGATGTGTGTTTTAAGACTAAAATCTTTTAGACACCACCAAAATAAAACAACTCTGAAGTGCCTGTGACACAGGATAATCCCTAGGATCATGTGAAGGTGGACAAAGTACCCTGGTTACTTCCCTCTCTCTCCACATCCGTTTCCTCCCTTCTGTATTTTGGGGATACTATCCACTCCTCTTTCGTGCTACTGTGCTCCAGGAGAAATAAAAACATGGGACAGAATAAATCTTTCTGGGTTCACACTAACAGCCTCTCAGGGTTGGAGGGGAGCTTGAAGGCCAAATTAAACCAAGTAATTGGGGAAAGTATCAGACAGCAACAGGAATAAAATGTGAAGTCCATGGATAAACACCTTTATTATGCAAGGAGTTTATCCTAATCTATAAGAAAATGTCTGGTTCTCAAAAACAGAATTCAACAGACTTTTCCTCTGGCAAACCTGCATTTCAAACATCACTGGGAATTCATCCAGTTGTCTTCAATGAGAATCATTTCAACATGTCCTGCAGCAAATAACTCCACTGTTGGTGCTTTGATAGTTAGAAAACTCCTCTATATGGTGCAAATAATTTTCAATCCACAAATTCAGATGAGTAAGAAGAAAGAAAAGTTACCTGTTTTCTTGAAATTAAACTTCTTTAGGCTGTTGCAACCTTGATCCTCCTTGTCAAATGCCAGCTGAGGATCTGATGGCCTCACAAACGGACCCAAGGTTTTGGGTGGTCCCTCCGGGTGTCCTGCTCTGTTTCTGTGGAGACACTCATGGCTCCCAGAGCTTAGCCCCATTCAGGCCCAGCTGCTTTGCCTTCCGTGAACATCACTCCAGCTCCAGAGGGAAAAGGGATGGTTTCCACCTTCAGATATCAAAGTCTAAATAGGGATATGGGAGAGCAACAAATGAAAAAGGCTTAACATAATGGCCTGTAAAAGTAAAGAAGGATGGTCATTGGGTGGTAACTGTGCTAGGAGACAAAACCCCACCATCCAGACATTTTTCTTCCTCTCCAGGCTATGGAGATTTTCTCTCAGACAGTGTCTGGAAGATCCCACAAAATGACACAAAAATATTGGCATTCACAACAGAAACCAATCAAGGACTCTTGCTCAACTGCACTGAAAGTTAGAGTAACTTATCCTATGTGGTCACAAACTTTGGAAGTTGTCTCTTAACACAGCTGTGCTTGTCATCTCTAAAGCACTCTGCTTGGTCCTCCCAGACCAAGATAAACTCTAACCTCACAGAGAGCGGCTTAAAGTTGACAGTAGGCTCAGTACATCTGAGCAAGGCAACCCTGTACTCACTGTCCAATAAACTTAGTATTTCTTCTGGCTAACTCAAGGGAAATTATAGTGCTGATAATAGCAATGACACCAACGCTACTAGCTAAGATTTTGAGTTTCTATTCTGTATCAGGCAAGACTATCAGGGAATCCTCTCAAATACCCTACAAAGTAGATTTAACTTGTAACTTATTTTACAGAAAAGGGAACAAAAAGGGTTACTTACTTGTCCAAGGTGATTTGAAGAAGAAACTGTGTCCTGAATATGAGCTCTCAGTGAGTGAAGATTCCTAAAGACTTTTTTAGATCCATGCCTTTTGTGCATTATTTGTTATTTTAATATCACTCAATACTATAGCCGACCCCTAGAATCTACTGGAGCCATGCTGTCAGGATGACTCAGCAGTTTTCACACATTCTGACCACTCTTGTATAGGTACAAAATGCAGGGTGCATTGTAAAGAGAAAATTATTAACTTGGATGGTTGTTTGGATTAGAGTACAGGCAGGTGCAAAAAAAGTAATTCAAATTGGTTTAAAATCCACAAAAATGTGTTAGTCCCATAACAAGAAGTCCAGAGGGAGGGTAAACTCTGGGTGTCATCCATGAGAGTGCAGAATTTCTCTCATCTTCTCCTTTTTCTTCTTCTGTGTATTGATGTCGTCCTCAGGCTGGGTGGAGACTCCACAGCAATTTCACACCTCACCTTGCAATGGGACAATATCCCCTTGAAGAAGAGAAGCAACCTCTCTTCAAAGGCTCCTTCTTAGAAGTGAGAGAAACTCTCCTAGAAGTACCCAGCACAGTGCTTCTTATGTGGCGTTGGCTAAGGCTGGGTCACAACTCTTTATCCACAGTGACTCCTATGCCAACCACAATGAAATTAGCATGGCTGACCTAAACAAATTATTTAAAGTAAAACTGATGTTGGAAAGGCAATCATCTTGACTGCTGAAACCATAGTGAGAAAGTGCTTTTCTTTAAATTAGATGTTTCCAAACTTACTTGTGTAGAATAAGTGGAGTCTGATCAATTTCAATTTAGTATATTATTTAGCCTAATTTTCATACGTAAACTTCTATGGGTATTGAAAGAATGCAAAGAGGAAAGAAGAGAGACCTAATGACAACTCTTGATGAATCAAGAACTTGATAAATCAAGGTATAGTAGAAACTGCAGAGTTAAGAGACTTCATTAATATAAGATGTGTCCAACTGAAGGTTTCATAGATGAAGCACGTTTAAGTAGTAAACATGGGATCCATTGCCTGAAGTATAATCTAGACATCAGTAGAAATTCTGAAGAGTTGAGAATGTTGGCAAACTGAAAAGCTTGAGTTTTCCATATGAACAACAAAAGACAATGTCAACAGATCCTGAGAATAAATTTTAGAATAAAATAATGAAGGGCATGTATCCAGAAGGAGGAAATACAATAGGGTCAAGATTACATCAGCTTTAAAGAAACAGGTATTTATTCATGTGGTTTTCCTCTTGATATCTGAGATAAAAGTCTAGAGTTTCAGGATCCAGTGGCTGGACATAGAATTCTTTCTATTACAAAAATTAGAAAACTAAAGTTTAGTTGCTCTAAATTTACTTACAAAACTAGTGTAGTAGGCTCAGTAATGGCCCCCAAAGACATACATGCCCTTATCTCTGGAACCTGAAAATATGTTACCTTAATGGCAAAAAGGGCTTTCTTTTTTATAATTCGTTCTTTTTAATTGAGTGTCATTAAAGAGTACTTTCTAAGCAGTTAAATGCACCAGGAGCTGTATTAACATAGGGCCACAGAGATGAGTAAGAGGAGACATTCACAGTCTCATGAGGCAGATCACAGATTATACTTAAGGCCTGTGAGTATAGAAAGGTTGCTTTCACATTTTTCTCATTGAAAATGTCTTTTCTTGGAAGCCTGGTATGGTTTTACAAAAAGAAGGGGGACCTTTCAGATGTGTTTTGGAGACTGAGTATTTTCCTAACTAAAATGATATTTCGCCCTGTTTCTAAACTCCCCTCCAAACTTGGCTCTGTTTGATTAGTCATCTTTCTCCTCAACCCTGAGATCCTGCCACAGTTGATCCAATGGAACGTCATGTTTGTGAATAAACTAAAGTGAAGTTATGTTGGGTTCCTTAGAGGTGGGCTTCAGATGGACGAAGATGACACTGGAGTAAGAGTCTTGCCTCGAAGATCCGGAGAAATTCCAGAGGATCTTAACTTGGTGGAGGCCACTGGGGACACCTCAGTCACTAGCACTGAGGGTCTATTAATTTCATAATTCATTTGTCATTCAGCTTAGTGAGATTATATAGCTGAGGAAATGGGAGTTGTGAAGGTAAAGAAAGCCAAGGAAGACAAAAATTTGGAAGAAATAGTTGGTGTCTCGGAAAAGGAATGCCACAGTAAGGAGAAATGTCACTGGACACTTAGGGGAGGCCATGGAAGCAGGGCCCACTGTGACTTCCCTAGGACATATGCACATTTGCTTTCATGGACCAATGCTCTATACAAATATTAAAATTAAGTCTTACATTGCCTTGGTATAGACATGAAGATAGACGAGGCTGGATTCATTATTACATATTCATCATTGTTGTATTCTCTTTTTCTTCTGACTTTAAAATAAATTAAAGCTAGAACATTATCATGGGCTCCTATAAGTATGATGGGTCATAGACACCGTGCCTTCTATTCTAATAGGCAGTGGCCCTGCGTGCAGGACCGGGCACAGGTAGTAAGGGCACTAAAGAAGTGCATTCATGGCGGGGCACAGTGGCTCATGCCTGTAATTCCAGCACTTTGGGAGGCCGAGGTGGGCAGATCACGAGGTCAGGAGTTCGAGACCAGACTGGCCAACATGGTGAAACCCTGTCTCTACTAAAAATACAAAAATTAGCTGGGCGTGGTGGCAAACGCCTATAATCCCAGCTGCTCAGGAGGCTGAGGCAGGAGAATTGCTTGAACCCGGGAGGCAGAGGTTGCGGTGAGCCGAGATCGTGTCACTGCACTCCAGCCTAGGCAATAGAGCAAGACTTTGTCTCAGAAAAAAAAAAAAAAAAATTGAAGAAGTGCATTCACAATGGTGCAGATGTCAACAGTTTCACTTACTGACTCACATTCCTGTTGGGTCACAGATTGAGCCACATGAGGACTATAGGGAAGCTCCTGTTTCATACCTATTCCTGAAATCTGGCCTGCCTTCCTGATTTAGGGAAGATGTATTCCTCTGTTTGCCTGCATATTACAGAAAACAGCCTGTGAAAGAATCTGCAAGCATGACTTACAATTGTAACTTAGCATATCGGAAATTTCTGTTGAGGCCATCAGTGGCTTTCATGTCCTCTGGAGTCAACTCAAAGTCAAAAACCTGAAAGGAAGAAAACACTCACATTAACCTTTCCCCAGGACAGCAGCTTCTTCCTGGGAATACAAGGCTTTCCGGGGGCAGAGGCAAGGATGGCAGTATGTAAAGTTTCTGTCCTCATTGGCCTCTAGGTGAGACCTCTTCCCCCTGAGTTCTGCTACTTTTCCATCCCACCTCCCTCCTGCTCTGCTCCACTTCTCAAAAGAAAGACAACTTATCAATCTAAGACATTTCTAGAGAATTGCTTGAGACAGAAAAAATAAATTCTTTATACTAAACAAAGGCAAATCTGGACAAAATACCTGCTTCCTTGACTTGATCACACTTGGTCAGGATTTTCCTTACTCACTTCCCCTGGAACTTGACCCAGTCTTTGACTGTGCAAGCCTTGGAACACAAGACAACCTTGCTCCAAGAATGTTTTGGCCTTAGAAAAGCATTTCTTGATCAATTGTTCCACCATACCACTTGCTCACTGCAGGCCCCCAAATACTATTTCCAGCTACTACTAAGTACTACCAAATACTACTTCCTTACAAAACAAAACAAAACAAAAAAAACAAACAACAAAAAAAACCTTTTTTGAATATATTTATCTTACTTAAGCCAAGAGTTGTTTTTATTTGAAAACACATTGACACATAGTCCCCTGATGAAGAATCCCTTAAAGCAAAGAAAAAGATATGTGGTTTAAAAAAATTAAGTTCATTATTTCATGCAGAAGATGGAAAACTCAGAGCCCTATCTATCTATCTCTCCGTCCATCTATGATATACATATCTATCTAATGTGTTTCTCTCTCTCTCTCTACCTATATCTGTCCATTATCTACCTATCCACCCATACATTTACCCATCAGTGATTCATCTTAAAAATATACTCCAGAAATGACATGGTTGTCACAGGGATATGTATTAATATGTTGAGTTAAATTGAAAAATAAAATAAAATAAGATTTTTTTCTGTATGGTAACAAGGTTTAGATTTGCCTATTTGATTTTTGTATAACTTAAAAATTTTAATCTAGAGCTACAAAGTTGTGAAACAAATACATTAGAAAATATGCTTCAAATATCATCCTTTGTAATAACTAAACTCATGTTGATTTTTCTAGCTGCCATCTTTAAATGGAAAACAGCATACATAGTCTTTCAAAATTCTTTTAGAATTCAAAACAAAGTAAATTAAAGACCACTGATTGATCTAATGGATTGGAGTGTATATGAGGAAGGCTTCAGGCAAAATCTTTACTCATTGATTTACTATTAATAATTTGGTCAGTCTATGAAATTATACCTAGCTTCCTACCAGCCCGGGGCACTGCCAGGGGAAAGGTGATAAAAGATGACCCAGAAGGAGTCACAGCATTTAGGGTCTCACAGTCCAGAGAGCACACTGACATCTTAGCAAACAATGTTAAGTTAAAAGGGAAAAGACTCACTAACAGAACCATGCCAGGCACTATTGTGGTGAAAAATGTGCTAGAGTGTCCCAATGGTTATGTATGTATGATATGTAACAAAGCAGGTAATCCTATTTGAGTTTGATCATAAAATACAAATAGAGGTTTGTCAGATAGAGATGGTGAAGGAGAGAAATGAAGGTCCTTAAAGTTCCTTACCATGTAGAACTCCTGAAACTCATGAAAATGATGGAGTTGAAATTTGCTTAGTGTCACACAACTAGTGAGTGGCAAAGCCAGCCCTAGAGGTGATAAACTTTAGGACTGTGAATCCAGTGATCTCTTCGCACTTTTCCATCCTGCCCCCTCCCTTAGCACACAGAGGAGAGAAGCACGGGCATGAATGACATATGGTGCATTCCCCCCTGGAAGAGAGATCACCCAGACCAGCGCCCATGGCTCACTTTGGAGCAACACCACTTGACCTGTACCTGGAAGTTCTCTTTGATTCTCTTCTCAGAGAAGCTCTTGGCCAGGACCACCACCCCCCCGCTGCAGCTCATAGCACAGGGCAACCTGGCCTGGGCTTCTATTGTATTTCTTGGCAATGGATTTCAAGGTTGGCTCCTCTAAGAGATATGGGCTATCTGGGTCCATCCTGGAGAAAAACAACAGATATGAAGAGTATAGATGAAAAATCTAGAGTGTGCTACCCTTTTGCCCAAAGCCCCAGACAATGAGAGAAGACACAATATAGTATGTTTCAAGGTGTCTCATAAATATTCATAGAGATTTATTCGCAATTGTGGCAAACTGGAAACAACTAAACTGCCCATCAATAGGTGAATGGATAAACAACTTGTGGTGTACATGTCCATATAATGGAATATTTCCCAGCAGTAAAATGGAAAGAACAGACACCTGCAACTACAGGAATGAATGTCACAGACAGGTTGAGCAAAAGAAGCTACACCAAAGAATATATATGACTTCTTTACATAAAGTACTACAGCAGACAAAACTAATCTAAGACCGAAAACGTTATGAACATAGTTGCCTAGAGGTGGGGAGGAATTGTCTCAGAAGGAACACCAATTAACATTTTTGGGAGAAAGTTTCCATATCATGACAATAATGTGGATTACAAAGTACATTCATTTATCAAAATTGTACAGCTAACGTATATGCATTACAGTCTATGTAAATTTCACCTTCAAATCACTTTGAAATTGTATTTGGAGTGGGGTTGGGAGAAGGCAGATATACAAATGAAACAGGAGGGAAGGAATGTTGGTGACATTGAAGCTCAGTGGTGTCACATGGGAATTCACTGCACCGTTGTGTTCACTGTTCTATGTTTGACTTGATCTAGAATGAAATGCTAAAAGTTTCTTAATCAATAGAGTTGCTGATATAGATTAACTCTTCGATACTCTTATTACCAGTTTGGGTCTCTGTGAGATGCCAGGGCCCTGTAGGCAACTAGAACAATGTCCTTGGACTTGCAGAACTCCAGGAGTTTGCTCTAGTTGAGGTAAGGGTGACATTCCACCTGTAATTTTTCAAGACCAAAAGGTGTCAGAATACATGAGCAAATAACCACATGTAAATTTTAAAATGCTTTGAAGGAATATCTAGTACTATATTAATATATGTACTATGTATTTCATATTGGTCATTTTCCCCATGCACCTTCTGAAATGCTTTCAAATTCCATCAGTGGTCATACTAACATGATAACTTACTTATTCTTTTTTTATTAGTGTTTTAAAATGATTAACATCTCTCGTGCCCAAATTATAGTCTCTAAATGACATTTCTACTCAGACAAACCAAGATTTCTTAGAAAAATGGCTAATTCTAGTTCTGACTGGGGAAGCTACAAGTTCAGCCTAGAACAGCTTACATTCTAAATGGCAAAGAACATAAAGAAAATGAGGCAAGTCAAAGGACCAAGAAGCTCAATTGAAAAGGCTCCTGCTGGTCAAAATGATGGCAAGTTGAGCAACAAAAGGCATAGTAACTACAATGGTTGGGAAAAGGACATATTTGTTAAAATTCATGAGTTCAAATGATGTTAACCAATTGTGATCAAATCTTTAGCTCTAACTTTCAATTTACAGAAAGTACAAAAGGAACATGTTAAATTGTATCACTGGATCAACCAGTATATCCTATACGGAGGAAAACTTTACAGGAATAAAAGGCTTAAGTTTTCATTAGTAAATTGAAGGAAAGAAAGAGGCAGAATGAGAATGAGGACTATGGAAGAAGAGAAGGAAGAGAAGGTAGAAGAGCAGGAGGAGAAGAAGGAAGAAGAGAAGAAAGAGAAGACAGAGGAGGCAGAAGAGGAAGAGGAGGAGAGAAGTAAAAAAAAAAAAAGAAGAGAACAAACTTATTTATTGAAAGAGTGATTTGGCCGGGATCAGTGGCTCACGCCTGTAATCCCAAAACACTGGGAGGCTGAGGCGGGCAGATCATGAGGTCAGGAGTTTGAGACCAGACTGACCGTCTCTACTAAAAATACAAAAATTAGCCAGGCATGGTGGTGCATGCCTATAGTCCCAGCTACTCAGGAGGCTGAGACAGGAGAATAGCTTGAACCCAGGAGGTGGAGGTTGCAGTGAGCCAAGATCGTGCCACTGCAGTCCAGCCTGGGTGACAGAGCGAGACTCAGTCTCAAAAAAAAAAAAAGAGTGATTTATGAGACATATCATCCAATTGCAATGTATGGGCCTTATTTCCACATCAATTTAAATGAATCAACTTTAAAAATATGATAAAATTATATTTTAGCACTCATGATATTTACTAACAACAAGAAATTATTGCTACAATTTCAAGTGGTATAAAAGTATTCTGGCAATGTTTATTTAAAGATTTAGAGATTTTTAAAATATTTTACAAAACATTTTCAGATACAATGATATCATGTCTGCTTCAAAATAATACAGAGGTAGAATTATCTACGTAACATGTTTGGTTGTGAGATAATTATTGCTTAAGTGTGATGATGGGTACATAAAAAGAAAATGATTATAACATGAGGGGATATTCAAAAAATTGATTGAAAATGTGCATTATGAAAAAACCATACATGGATTTCAAAAAAAAATGCTCCAAAATAAACTTGTACTAATTTGTTATGATGTGTCTGAACAGGATCTAGTTTGAGGCATTGAGAAAGATAAAACAACTCCCCTATCAGAAAAACATGAATTCAGCTAAATTGAAGTAAGAACAAAAATCAAATTTATTGTGAAGCATGGGTGGAAGAATGGTGAAATTATTGACTCTTTACACAAAATATATGGGCAAAATCCCCCAAAGAAATCAGAAGTTCACAAATGAATAATTCATTTGAAGAAGGAACGAGATGATGTTGAAGATGAAGCCCGCAACAGCATACCATTCACATCAATTTGCAGGAAAACAAAAATGTATCTTACTAGTGCCCTCATTAAAGAAGACCAATGATTAACAGCAGAAATGATAACCAACACCATAGATATCTCAACTGGTTCAGTTTACACTATAGTAACTGAAAAATTTAAGTTGAGTGAACTTTCCAATTCATGGGTGACGAAACTGTTGTGGCCAGATCAGCTACAGACAGGAGCAAAGCTTTCCAAGGAAATTTTAGGTAAGGGAGATCAAGATCCTGAAGCATCTTCAAAGAATTGTAAAATGAGGTGAAACATGGCTTTGCCAGTACAATCCTGAAGACAAAGCAAAATCAAAGCAATCGCTACCAAGATGTGGAAATGATCCAGGCAAAGCAAAAGGAGATTAATCAAGAGAAAAGGTCATAGCAAGTTTTCTGGGATGCTCAGGGCATTTTGCTTATTGACTCTCTGGAGGGCTAAAGAAGAATAGCAACTGTTTTGAGAAAATTAGCCAAAGTTTTAGTATGAAAACACCCACAAAAAGCTTCACCAGAGATTATTTTTCACCATACCAATGCTCCTACTCGTTTTTTTCATCAAGCAGGGGCAATTTTGCAAGAATTTTGATAGAAAAATCATTAGTCATCCACCTTACAGTCCTGGTTTGGCTCCTTCTGAGTTCTTTTTGTGTCTGAATCTTTAAGAATCTTTAACAGAGACTCTTTTTCTTACAGTTAATAATGTAAAAAATAAAAAGAATACATTGACATGATTAAATTACCAGGACTCTCAGTTATTTAGAGATGAACTAAATGGCTACTATTTGCTATTAGTTCACATACTTAGTTCATATACTCATAAGCATATACTTATGCTTTAAAAACTATACTGAATTTGGTAAAGCTTATTTTGAAAAATAGTTCATATATTTATAAACATCTTTTAATTCCATTTTTCCATGAACTTTTTGAACTCCTCATATTCTCTATATCTTTTTTTAAAAATTTACAAAAATAAAAACTTTTAAAAGTTATAAAAGAAATATTTTCATGTCAGATATAGGAAAAAATACAACAAGGTCACCTAGAATTTTACCAGAACCACGTAGCAACCTCTAATCATTTTGTGTGCTTAATTTTAGTCATTTTTATTATTCTTAAGATGTTAAATAATTTAAAATTAGTATATGTACTGAATAGTATAGATTAGCATATTTTATAAGAATCCTGATTTTGTTCAGTTATTTCTCCCTTCCTCCATATTCAGTTTCTGTGCCCCAGAAGAAGCCAGTTCACACTTTTGTGTCACAAACTTCCTTTCTCTTACATTAATTGGTTTATGAAAGGCACAATATGTTGTTCAAGCCAATGAAACATGAGAAAAAAATTGCTAGAAAACTTCTGTGACCATTATTCTTCTCTCTTTAGAAACAGCTCCAGAAAACCCTCTCTGCTGTGCTGAACATGAATGAGGAGACCTATAGCCCAATTGCCATGAGGAGCCATTCTGAAGCGATCAAACATGGAGCACAGACAAAATATATTCATTTCAAGAGAGTATCTTACAGCTTCTAGAGCAACAAAGACCCAAACTTTCTATAAATGAATCAACTTTAAGCCCGTTTGAATTGAGTTTTCTGTTTCTTGTGGCTTAAAAGCATCCTGAAAAACAGAATAGTATATAATTCTCTGATATACTTTTGATATAATATTATAACATAAGCTTTCCCTTTTTGCTATTAGTCTTCATAATATCCTCTCAAAGATCTCTATGAAGCCATCAGAACTTTAATTAATTCCTCATTTGTGGATATTCAAAATTCTAATCATTTGGTTTTAGAAATTATATATATATGTTAATATATATTATATTACTATATAATATAGATGGGAGTTTTTAACACGTCTTGTCTACAAATATCCCTAGAAATATAAAACTAAGACAGAGTATACATTTTTGAACTGCTTTTTGTATAATTATCAAAATGGTCTACACAAAGCTTTAAACTTAACAATGTCATAAATCATGTTTGATATTTGGCTATATTGGATGTTTCTTTTAAAATCATATGTTTTGATTACGATTTATACACCTCCTCTTTCTCACTCCTTTCCTCTGATCTGGCTTTAGTGCTTACCACTCTGGATCAGGCCCTGCATGGCTTCCCATAACCTCCATGCCACTAAATCCAGCCACTTTTATCTTTCCCTATTGGAGTGTTTGCTCACAGTAGGACCTACCTATGTCTGACTCAAGCCACTTCAATGCTCTTTCTTTGGCTCCCGACACCACAGTCTCCTGGCTGTCTCCACCTGTCTGGCAGCTCCTGTTCAATCTCCTTGCCAGTGCCTCTCTGCCTCACCCTCTCCTGTGAACTTTCCTGCCTGTTCCTTTTCATTCCATGAACTTTCCCTAGGAGAGCTAATCCTTGTCTGTGAGTTGTTACCATCTATACAGCAATAATTTCAAACACTGTGTCTCCACCTCCACCCCCTGAGCTCCAGACCAAAGCGACCACCTCCCAACTCTGCCTCCGCTTGGCTGTCTCATAGGAACTTCACACCCATCCCCAAAGAACTGAAGTCAGGCTCTTCTACTCCACTCAAACTGTTTTTCTCTAGTATTTTCTATTTCTATGAAAGTAGCTGTCATCTACACAGGTGATATAAAGCCAGAAACTTGGAAGCATGATTAAGCAGGAAGTGTGTAAAGAGCAGAAAGTCAGAGAAGGCCCCGGTGGGCTAACGGCTCACCTGGTTGCAGGTGGGCTTGTACTTGAGCCCTGGCTTGTTGAGGATGAGTTCCAGCAGTTTGTGATTGAAATTGGACACCCCGATGGACTTGGTTAAACCTGCTTCTTTGCACTTCTCCAGGGCCTGGGGAGGGAGGAAATGGGTGGTAGACCTTTACTGTAGTTTGTCCATTTCGTTTGTCACTGACTTTTTATAAACCGAAAATCTGATTTATGATATACTACGATTATAATGAATCAAACCGTTTTATCCCTTGAATAAATTAATTTTGAATGCCTTTTCTTGTTCTGCGTACATATTTGTCTCCTTAATTCTATTACATGCACACTGGGGACACCAAATAAACATAAAGCTGCTTTTCCATTTCCTCTTACCTATCCCACTCTCTTCTATGGTACCTATTTTGCTGTTAGGATGCAATAGTTAACAAACTACACCATAGTCAAGGGCAAAAGAAACTCTCAGCTTTTCCTCTAGTAAAGGGTTTGTTGCTACCTCTTTCTACAACGATAAAAATAAATGAATGGTATAGGTGTTGCAAGGGCGGGTTCACTGTCCTGCACCTTCCACCCTCCTGCTGAGTCAGGCCGCAGCTATTCCTCCTCTGTGATGTGTTTCTGTCCCGGGATAAAGCGCTGACTCCTTTTGTGCTTCTCTATGCTGACTCCTCTTTAGGGCTCATGTCCTCAACCTGATCTCAGGGGTAAAGCTGCTTCCATGTCTATGTAGAGCCATAGAAGTTAAAATTAAAAATGGACCGTAGGGGTTATCTCATTCCACTCCCTCACTTCAACGATGAGAACACGGAGGCGCAGAGAAGTTCCACGTCTGAGGTCAAACAACTGCTGGAGCAAAACCCCATCTCTTTTGACCCCTCCTTCTGTGATTCCAACCTCACCACACAGTGCCACCTGGTGTCTGCAGCAGAACATACCTCCCATGTGTCACGAAGATCCACAGTATCAAAAATAATGTTTCCACTGGCATCCTTAGGCAGCAATTCCTCCCCAGGCTGGAAAACAGAGGATAAAGAAGAAGGTTTTCTATGAGAATTCCCTTTCTGGCGCCTAAGGAGCTTAGCCACACCACTTTCAGAAGGCTGTGATTATTAATCTGAACATGCATGCGTGCATGTGTGTGGATGTATGTGCTTGTGTGTCTGCATGTGCAGACGTGTGTATGTGTGTGCATGTGTGTGTGCCTGTGTGCATATGTGTGTGTGCATGAGTGTATGTGTGTGGATATGGATATGTGTGGATGTGCATGTGCGTGTTTGGGGTGAGGGTTGGTAAGAGAAGACATGGGAAAAAAGAAAGATGAGAACAGTCTGAGAGACTGTAGCAAAACACTTTTTCTCCAGTTACCTGCAGGCTCCTTCCTCCATACACCCCCACACTTCACTAAGAATGCCGTCCCTACAGTTGAAATTTATTTCATTTCTGAAGGACAGGCTGGTGTGGAAGACAGCGCTTACCATAACTATTGATCAGTGTGTTTAGCCCCCGTTTATGCTCACCCAACTTGGATAATGAGGACATCAGATGTGCTCAGCCAATGTCCACTGTGATGAGAGGTTGGATCACTGAAGCCCAAAGGAGTCCAGTTGTGCCACATGTGCCATCCCATGTACCTCTCTCTCCTGTGGGCTGAGGGTACATACGGGAGAGACCCTCACCATAAAGAGGTGGAGATTTCACGTTGTATCTCTGTAGTCTGTAGTAACCTAATAGCTCAGAACCTACACTCAGGAACACAAGCACTAAGAAATGCAGGGCAATGCCCTCATGTTTCTAGCATAGAGGAAGTGAGATCATCGAACCTGCATCTCGCTTAAGGCTGGGGGATGAGCACAGACAGAAAATTGCAATGTCATTCGGCTGTGAAGGAGACTCGTGAATGATTTAGCAATTCTATGCAATTCACTCAAACCTACCCCTCTCGGAAAGAACCCAGGAAATCAAGCTGGAATGAGACAATGGAGGTGCTAGTAACAGTGATGAAACTGTTTGGGGCATAAGAAGGAAAAAACAAAAGCTGACCTTCATAGCCAATGGATTGTGGATAATGAAGAGATCGACATAGTCCAGTTGAAGTTTCTTCAGTGACCCTTCCAGGGCTGGGCGAACTAATTCTGGTCTAAAGAAAGTTGTCCAAAGCTGCAGTGAACAAAAGAAATAAAAAGTAGCTTATGATTTCACACACTTGGGGACCAAAATTAAACATAACAGAAATTGACACATGAGTAACAAAACACTGTGGTCTCAAACTAGAAGAACTGGGGCTACATTTGTATTATTCAGGGTAAATTACATCCTTGATGAGATGCTGAGATTTACTTGAATGACTGCAATGTAAGAAAACTGTGAATAAAACTTAGATGGAGCAGGAAAATCAACTTTAATGCATCAAGGGTTAATGGCATCGTCCTCTGAGAGCAGTCGAGAAATGTCAGGACACGGGGAATGGAATCTACTGTCCTGTATAATGAATTCCTCAAAACAATTCTGCTGAGAGATGCATTCTAAAAACAAGTTGTCGTCAGTGTAAACAGGCATAGGCTGTATCGCCAGTAACCAAGGCTTTATTTACATTGGAAGAAAGGTTTTCCACCCTAGGAAAATGTTATAACATTCAGGAAACTCAATGCTGAGTTGAAAAATAAAAAAGTATTTCCCAGTCTGGCTCCCTTTTCTGAATAACATCCCAACCTCACTTGATACGTCCTGAGAACAATTACTGAACAATCAACGGAGTGGCCCCAGAATGCCTTGGGTAATCGTATAACAGTTACTTAAGTATTATCGATCTCATCTCATATATGAATAATACCTGCCGCTCAGAGACATTGAAGAACAGTGTCCCACCTTTCACACATCTCAGAGAAAAGCCTTTTCTATGTTTTCATAACGTGCCTTCACAATATTAGGTAAGAAATACATTGTTCCTATGTTTTGATAATGTGCCTTCACAATATTAGGTAAATACATTGTTCTGAGACCACATTGTTTTTCTAAATAATACATCTGAACTGACGGTGGCCTCTGGCCACTGCACACACAGAAATTTCACCTCAGTGGTGTAGAAAATGTCCTCTCTCTTCACAGGGCCATCAGCAATCTTCTCTCGAATGGCCTTTCCGACCTCCTCCTCGTTTTGGTAGAAGAACGCCGCATCAATGTGACGGAAGCCTGCATCAATAGCCACTTCGGTGGCTTCACCAGCCTTGCTCTTGGGGGTCTATAAAACAGGAGTAAGAGGAGTCAACGATCTGCCTGACTCAGAGAAAATCCATGTATTTCCACAATGGCATTTTCCTTTTTTTTTTTAATCTTTTACTTTGGGTTCAGGGACACATGTGCAGGTTTGTTATATGTGTAAACTGTGTCACAGGGGTTTGGTGTACAGATTGTCACCTGGGTAATAAGCATAGTACCCAATAAATATTTTTTCTGATCCCCTCCCTCCACCATCCTCCAACCTCAAAAGGTCCCGATGTCTGTCGTTCCCCTCCCAGTATCCCTGTGTGTTGTTCAGCTCCCACATGTAAGTGAGAACGTGCAGTATTTGGTTTTCTGTTTCTGTGTTAGTTTGATTAGGATAATGGCCTCAAATTTCATCCATGTTGCTGCAAAGGACGTGATCTAGTTCTTTTTTGTGGCTTCACAGTATTCCACGGTGTTTATGTACCACATTTTCTTTATCTGGTCTACCACGGACGGGCATTTAGGTTGAGCCCATGTCTCTGCTATCCAATAGCATCTTCATAGTCTGCTGGCCTCCTGCTCCCCTTTTGATCATTTGGGTTTCCATGATAGACTTGCACACTCCGAGGACAGCAACTAACCTCCTGTAAGCTTCTACTCCCAAATAAATTAGTGGAATTGGCTTCACCCTGGAGCATGGAAAAATCACATCTCATTCCATATGAATCAATTGTACAAGAATAACCAACGGGAAAACTTCTGATACTGGGAGAATTTTTCTAAGGCACTCAATAGGAAGGACAGGTCAATCGACACACACACACACACACACACACACACACTACATACATATTACAGCTGACCCTTGAA
Source organism: Homo sapiens (assembly GCF_000001405.40). NCBI lineage: Eukaryota > Metazoa > Chordata > Mammalia > Primates > Hominidae > Homo > Homo sapiens. The sequence goes on from NC_000010.11 coordinate 5,286,849, forward strand.
TAACACAGGTTTAAACTGCACAGTCCCACTTATACATGAATTTTTTTCAATCAAAATTACAAAGTGTGCCTACTTCTCCTGCCTCCCTTCCCCCTCCTTCACCTCTTCTGCCTCTGCCACCCCAGAGACAGCAACCCCAACCCTTCATCTTCCTCCTTCTCCTCAGCCTACACAGTGTGAAGAAGACAAGGATGAAGACCTTTGTAATGATCTACTTCCACTTAATGAGTAGCAAATATATTGTCTCTTCCTTATGATTTTCTTGAGTTTCTTTTCTCTAGCTTACTTTTCTCTAGCTTGCTGTATTATAAGAATACAGTATACCATACATATAACATGCAAAATAGGTGTTAATCAACTGTTTATGTTATTAGTAAGGGTTGCAGTCAATAGTTGGCCTGGTTTTACCCAGGACACAGACGTCACCTCACCAAGCTGGCGTTGCAACGTTAGGATGATAATATGTACACGCTCTGCCTCAAATTTCAAACAGTGGATAGTCTAATGACTACATCTGAGATTCTGCCCTAGCAAGCTTCCTAGAACAGCAGGACAAAAGACAGCACAACACACACGCAGGAAAAAAGCTTCTCGTTCCTGCAGTGACTTAAGGTAAAAACACCAATTAGAGTATTAAGGAAGCTTCTTTTTCACTTAGTGCATTTGAAATGTCTGAATATTAAGCACGTGCACGTATTACAATTTATTATGGTAAATGAGGGGGTTATGGGGAATTTTGTTCTATTCTCTATGGCACTTTTTTCTGTCTTTTCTAAGAGTAATAAACATTACATATAACATATGTAAGACACACATTATGCCTAATGGATGAAATGGATAATTATGTCATTGAAAACCTACTGACCCTTTCTGGCAGCTGTTATCTCGTGATATCTCATGACAGAGTTCTACCAAGATTGAGCCCATCCATTGGTCTCTCATTTTGGGGGCAATCCCTCCAAAGCAACCCCAAAGCTGCCCTTACGTTACCGTGACCAGAGTGTGACACTTCAAGTTCTCTGCCATGAACTGAGTGGATGGCTGTATTTCAGTCCTTACTGTGATGTTGTGCCCCCTAAGTCTTCCCATCGAATTACCTAATGTTCTGAATCACAGTGGCTTCTTACGTGACAAAAGGTTTGGATGGTCGAAACTCCCTGGCAAATACTTCCAGCCCCAACAACCTCACAGCAAAGCTGCCAGCAAGTATTCATGTTGGTTTCCACTTCCCCCTAGGCCCTTGGCCCTTCACATTTCTAACCAGGAGTGGAGCGGCTCTGAGCAGGTGGAAGATGAGAGCAGCCTGAGCATGGGTTTTTTTTTTTTTTTTTTTAATGTAAGAAGTAGTGAGTACTTACCAAGGACGGTTGTTGAAGAATTAAATAAGATAATGCATGGAAAATACAATACATGAAACCATTTGATATATGTTAGGTCACAATAATAATAATAAAAAGAATTATCCAAAAAATTAACCTCCAAACTCTCAGAGTCAACAGCTTATCATCCTCTTAGTGCAAAAAAATATAAGACCCTTCAGCCTCCTGGGGTCCACTTACATGATCAGGAGCATAAGTGCCAAATCCCAGCATCGGCATGACATGTCCATCATTCAGCCTCACGGAATGGCTTTGCTTCAGATCCATCACCACCCACAGCTCAGCTAATCTGACTCTGCCTTTCCTTCCATTTCCTGACTGAGAGCCCAGTAGGAGACAAGGCTGCCACGTTCTTTATTTCCATCAATACAAGATGGGCAGGGCAGAGATTACAGCTGCCTATAATTTCAACATGAAGTTGAAATCAATCCATTGACTTTGTTCTGATTCTTCCATGTCTCTGCAGGCCTGTCTTACAGGAAAATCGTACAGAAAGATTTGCATGCTAGAGGAGTTTGAATTTTCTCTTCAGTGTTGTACACACTTGATTTCTAAGTTAAAAAATTTAAAATGCCAAAAGAAACTATCAACAGAGTAAACAGACAACCTACAAAATGAGAGATTTTTACAAACCATGCATCTGACAAAGGTCTAATATCCAGCATCTATAAGGAACTTAAACAAATTTACACGAATGAAACAAACAACCCCAATAAAAAGTGGGCAAAGGACATGAACAGACACTTCTCAAGAGGAGGCAAACATGCAGCCAACAAATATGAAAAATGCTCAACATCACAGATCATTAGAGAAATGCAAATCAAAACCACAAGGAGACACCATCTCACACCAGTTAGAATGGCTATTATTAAAAAGTCAAAAAAATGACAGATGCTGGCAAGGTTGTGGAGAGGAATGAACGCTTATACACGGTTGGTGGGAGTATAGATTAGATCAGCCATTGTGAAAGACAGTCTGGTGATTCCCCAAAAGACCTAAAGTCAGAAGTGCCATTCAACCTAGCAATCCCATTAGTGGGCATATACCCAAAGGAATATAAATTCTTATATTATAAAGATGCATGCTTGTGTATGTTCATTGCAGCACTATTCACAATAGCAAGGACATGAAATCAACCCAAATGCCCATCAGTGATGGACTGGATAAAGAGGATGTGGTGCATGTACACCATGGAATACTATGCAGCCATAAAAAAGAATTAGATCACATGCTTTGCAGGAATATGGATGGAGATAGTGGCTGTTATCCTTAGCAAACTAACACAGGAACAGAAAACCAAATACTGTATGTTCTCACTTATAAGTGGGAGCTAAATGATGAGAACACATACGGGGCAACAACACACACTGGGGCCTATCAGTGGGTGGAGGGTGGGAGGAGGGAGAGGATCAAGAAAAATAACTAATGGGTACTGGGCTTAATACCTGGGTGATGAAACAATCAGTACAACAAACCCGCATGACACAGGTTTACCTGTGTAACAAACCTGGACATCCTGAACACGTACCCCTGAACTTAAAATAAAAGTTCAAAAAAAGCATGCAAATATGTCTTTGATAATGGCACCAGACTTATTTTACAAGGTATAAAACTATCATTAGGCTAGTGAATCTAAACACTAATTTTCCCAGAGTACCTAAGTTAGCTTCCTCACCATTCCTTTCATCATAAATCCCATAACAATACCTCACTGAAAATTTATTGAACAAAGCCTGACACCTGGTCCCAAGCACACACGTAACAACATTTCTTAGGAAGACCTACTCCTACTTTCATTATCTTTGTCTCCTGTACCAAGGACCGTTTCGTTTTTTGATTCTCATTGTCTTGTTTTCTTTTTTTTTTTTTTTTTCTTTTTTTGAGACGGAGTCTCGCTCTTTTGCCCAGGCCGGAGTGCAGTGGCGCGATCTCGGCTCAGTGCAAGCTCCACCTCCCAGGTTCACGCCATTCTCCTGCCTCAGCCTCCCGAGTAGCTGGGACTACAGGCGCCCGCCACCACGCCCGGCTAAATTTTTTGCATTTTTTTAGTAGAGACGGGGTTTCACCGTGTTAGCCAGGATGGTCTCGATCTTGTTTTCTTGAATCCTTTTGGTGAGAAAAAATTGTCTGAAATCATGGATAAATGTCTGTATTCTTGCCTTTCTTTCAGCCATTGCCTCTTTCTGGAACAGCTTTCTCTATCCCACCTAGTTTTCAGCAGTTTAATGACTTCTTACTTATCTAAAATGCACCTCCTCCAGTCACACATCCTTTATGACTCCTTCTATGATCTCCCTAGATGAAGCTGATGCCCTTCCCTGCATACTCTTTAGCTTCTACCGTCCAGGCCAAAAAACCACATCATTCAAATTACATTCTCAACTAATAAGGAACTTCTGCTACATAAAACACCTAACTCATGTTTTCTTTAATGTTTCTATTATACTGTGCTTCTTGCAACCTGTATTTGTGCCATCCGTATTTTACAGCCAATTATGAAACATACAATTATAATTTATCTTACTTTCAACTCATCCCTCTGGCTGGTCAAGGTCAGAACTCTGTCTGATTCTATGAGTCCATGTGGTTACATTTATCTCAACATTGTGTTTGCTATAAATTTGATGAGAATATCCTTTATATTCCATTGCTAAAGCTTTTGCACTAAATAGAGATGTTCCGTATCAAGTCACAAGAAAATTCTGTCTTCATTGATGTGAACTGCCTGGAGTCCACAATTCAACAGGTTAAAAATTTGTCTAACGTTCAGTCCACCCGCCAGCTAAAAACTGAGGCCTTAAAGAACTGAGCAAGCTTGTTCTCCTCTCAGAGCTAGTCTCAGCCACCAGCATCACCTTTTTAGCTGCACTGAAAGAAATCCTGGCGGGTTTTCTCTAGTGGGGACCACCAGATAGGATGATGAGGGGATAAAGAATTTCTTCCCACCTTCTTGGTGATGTCTTTGTCCCTGTGTCACTCTCATTGAAGTAGCTCCCCAGTCCCTACTGTGTCTCTCCATCTCACTCCTCAGTTTTAGTTTCTTCAGAACAATTGTGATCAGAGCAATTGCCTGAATTATTCACACCAAGTGAGTTATTTATCAGAGGAATAAAGGATGTTTGAGCCATTCCATATCAAGTATCATCTTGTTTTAAAACATTTTGCTGGACAGAAAGAAAAGTCATTATTTACAGCAAAACTACAAAGAGTTGGATACAGCCCCAAAACTCTGATAGGAGATTTAACCATACAGAACAAGAGTTCAGCAAGGATGCTGCAATTCACGAGGAAAGGCTAACCCAGGGTTATGAGAGAAATGTTAACATTGCATGGCGATAAAATGCCAAATACCTTGCTGTGGTTTGAATGTGTCCCCCAAAGTCCATGTGTTGAAAGTATAATCCCCAGTGCAACAGTGTAAAGACGTGCCCTCTAAGAGGTCACTAGGTCATAACGGCCCTGCTGTCATGAAGCACTGACCTTATTATTGCGAAAACGGGTCCATTATCGTGAGAGTGGGTTTATTGCAAAAGTCATTTCAGCCCTCTCTTGTCTCTCATCCTCTTACCCCTGCGCTCGTGCCCCCTGCCTTCTGCCATGGGATGACACAGCACAAATGTCCTCACCAGATGTGGGGCCTGTGATCTGGGACTTTCAAGACTCCAAGACTGAGCCAAACAACTTTCTGTTTTTTATGAGTCACTCAGTCTCGGCTATTCTGTTACACAACAGGAAACAGACTAAGACACACCCATATAATCCTCTCTGAATAAATGGGAATCCATTGTCAAGCAACAAAGAGAAATGCTGCCCGACTCTCTGGGGAAACACACCTTACCCCTCTTTTACCACCCCCACATAAGTAGGGAGCCAAAAAGATCAGCTTTCAGAGTTCTCAAAATGCCTTCTGAAAAGTCTGGTTAAGACCACACCTTCTGACCGGGAGTCTGGTTCGTTAAGACTGCTGTGACAAAGTACTGTACACTGGGAGGGTTATAAACAAAAGACATAGATAGCTCACAGATCTGAAAGCTAAAAGTCCAAGATCAAGGTGCTGGCAGATTCAGGGTCTGGCGGGGGCCTGCATCCCGTGTCACAGACAGCTGTCCTCTCACTGTCCTCATGTGGCGAAACAGGCACGCAATCTCTCTGGGGGCTATTTTATCAGAAGCACTGGTATAGTTTGGACATTTGTCCCTTCCAAATCCCATGTTCAAGTTTGATCCCCATTGTTGGAGATGGAGTCTAATGGGAGGCTTGGGGGCCATGGGGTAGACGCCTCATGAAGAGATGAATGCCCTCCCAGGGGAGGGGGGTAAGGTCTTACTCTATTAGTTCCCATGAGAGCTAGTTGTTAAAAAGAACCTGGCCCCTCCCCTCCTTCCTGCTTCCTGTCTCACCACACGATCTCCGCACACACCAGCTCCCCTTCACCTTCTTCCACACTTGGAAGCAGCCTGAGGCCCTCACCAGAAGCCCAGTCCTGAAACTTCCAGCCAGCAGAACTGTGAGCTGAATAAACTTCTTTTCTCTATAAATTACCCAGCTTCAAGTCCTCCTTTATAGCAACAATAAATGGACTAAGAGGGGCTCTAATCCCATTCATGAGGGTTCCACCCTCACGACCTAATCACCTCCACAGGACCCACCACCAAATAGCATCACCTTGGGGGTTAAGGCTTCATATACGACTTTGGTGGGGATGTAAAGATTCCATTCATTGCACAGGGCAAAGGGAGGCCATAGCAGCAGGGTCATAGTGTTCTGGGGCTGCTCACTGCCCCTCACTCCCAGGCCTGCCCCACCCCAGCCAAGGCCTTCATGCTGCTCTGGGCTACCTCTCCCAGGTCCTGCATCCCAAGCAAAGGTACAGACTCAATTGAGATCTCCTGAGACTCACTCCCTGCCCCTGCAACAAGATGGACATGTCCTTGTCAAGTTCTTCTCTAGGAAAATGTGGGCATCACATAGAGACTCGTACCTACCTGTGCAGAGGTTTTCCAGAGCCTCGATCACCCCCTCTGTCTCATCATTGGTTTCTGGCTTCAGTCTCACCTTCTTGGTGATGTCTTTGTCCCTGTGTCATTCTAATCAAAGTAGCTCCCCAGTCCCCACTGTGTCTCTCCATCTTACTCCTCAGTTTTAGTTCCTTCAGAACAATTGTGACCAGAGCAATTGCCTGAATTATTCACTTATTTTGTGGTATGTTTTCATATTTATTGACTGATTTCTCCAACACTAATCACCACACCTAGAAAAGCTCCCTAGTATGTGGTCAGTGCTCAATAAATATTTGCGGAATGAATGAAATTGAGTTCTAAGCATAGGCACAGTGGGGTTTTTTTTTTTTTTAAGTTTTTCTGTGCTCTGTTCTTATTTTCTGTGATCTGCAAACTATCTCTAAATCCTTATGAAAGATTGCGTCCAACACTGTTTTTTGCAGTGGGAAATTGAGAGGCCCATGTTGCACTCAAACAGAGCAGCAAAGCATTCGTCATCCCTCCCCTCAGGGCTGGGACTAACAGCAGGGCCTTCCTCAGCAGAGTACAGCTATGCCCAGCTGAGTGACAAATGCTCTAGTCAGAGAACACAGCAGCACAGGAGGCCAGCATGGTGGCCACAGGGGGAGTTCACGCGTGGCCGCTTGTGGACAGGTGCAGGGTGGCAGCCCTGAGGAGGTTCAGAACACCAGGGGCATCTTGAGGTAACAGCATCAGTCATGAACCAGGATATAAAAATCCATGCTGCTTATTTAAACAGGATGTGTAATCAGACGGTTGGAGTATCTACAAAGAAGCCAGTCAGGAAACAATAAAGCAACCCAGAGGCTTTTAAACACAGGAAGTCGCTACCCTCCTAGGCTAGAGAAACAGAGGTAGCAGTGCTGGAGGCAGAGCCCGGGGTCCCTGGAAGAAGCAGCAGCCATGGAGGGCCTGAGGGAGGCAGCCAGGACGACTGGAGGGATGGAAGCTGCTGCTGTGTCCCCTAGAGAAGGGAAGAAAGGCACCTGGACTCCAGCTTCCCTTTCTGCTCTCAGCAGCGCCTCACAGTGGCCAAGTCCAGCTGGAAGGCAGCAGGCAGAGAGGGCAGCACCCAGGGCAGAAGAGGCCGCTCTCCTGGGCTACAGCAGAGCAGGAGAGGGAGGAGGAGGGGCACTGAGCAGACAGGAGTGTCAGTCAATCAGGCTGACCCTGGCCCCGCATCCTCAACGGGATGTTAATGAAATACCGCCTTCTTCTGTAGTTCAGGCTGATGGGGCAGGAATGCTGGGTTATGTAAGTGTCGCAGTGTTCACTGAGGGGGATAACACGAAAAACTTATTTGTTCCTGGGAAAATTTCTTAAATCTCATTAAGGCTTCTTAAGCATTCACAAGATTAAAGCCACCTTTGCCAGAGGTTAGGATTAATAGGTGGGGCTAAATAGCCTACCTGAAATTCAGTTCCAGAAATATTTACTGAGTATCTTTTATGTGCAACTGTTCCTAGGTTTTGTTTGTTTGTTTGTTTGTTTGTTTGAGACAGAGTCTCGCTCTGTCGCCCAGGCTGGAGTGCAGTGGCGCGATCTCGGCTCACTGCAAGCTCCGCCTCCTGGGTTCACGCCATTCTCCTGCCTCAGCCTCCCGAGTAGCTGGGTGGGACTACAGGCGCCCGCCACCACACCCGGCTAATTTTTTTGTATTTTTAGTAAAGACGGGGTTTCACTGTGTTAGCCAGGATGGTCTCGATCTCCTGATCTCATGATCCGCCCACCTCAGCCTCCCAAGGTGCTGGGATTACAGGCGTGAGCCACCGCGCCCGGCCCCTAGTATTTTTTTTTAAATCAGGCATGTAAGAATAAGTCCAAGAGTTCCACATTCAATTTTGTGAGGCTATATCTTCACATGTTCCCTTGGGCTGGGACTAAAACAACAGCCTTCCTTGAAACTAGGACGTGGGAGTGATGGTACTAGGGCAATTGCATCATGATGAAAGAATACCCGAGACTGGGTAATTGATAAAGAAAAGGGGTTCAATTGGCCCATGGTCTGCAGGCTGGACATGAAGCATGGTGCTGGCATCTGCTTCTGGGGAGGGCCACAGGGAGCTTACAGTGACAGCGGAAGGTAAGGGGGGAGCCCGTGTCTCACACCACAGGAGTAGGAGCAAGAGAGAGCAAGGGGGGACAATGCCACACTTTACACAACCGGATCTCCAGAAACTCACAGCGAGAATGAACTCATCACAAGGGGATGGTGCTGAACCATTCGTGAGTGATCCAGTCCATGATCCAATCACCTCCCACCAGGCCCTGCCTTCAGCACTGGGGATTACATTTCTGCATGGGATTTGGAGTGCACAAATATCCAAACCATATCAGTACTTTTTGCTGAATTTTGAGCCTCTGGTCCCAGGGGTAAACACCTTCCCAAACTGTGACCAAGAAGACGAAGGAAGGGTTTCCTATCTCTCTGGGGCATGGATTACACCAGGGAAAAACATCAGGTGTTTGAATGCCAATGGCTCTGCCATTTGTAGATTGTAACACATGATCAGAAGAATGCAACAGATTGAATATCCAGCTTTGCTAAGGTTGCAGAGTTTGGTCTGAGCTAGGAGTCCACATTCTTCACCAAGGTCTTCCTCAGAATCTATGTCATGGGACCTGTGCTTGCTGAAGGGAGATAAGCCACAGCTGAAGGCACTCCAACTTCAGAGAACACAGCTCCCTTTAATACGGAAAAGCTTGCTGCTATCAGCACCCCAAGTTTTCTCCTCTCCCAGCCTTGGGTTCTCTACATGCATGCACTGCAGGAAAAGAGGAGGTACTCAGCATTCAAAAGAGCAGTCAGGAATAATGGCCATTATGAAGAATAGTTGGAGGTTCCTCAAAAAGCTAAAAATAAAACTACCACTTGATCCAGCAATCCCACTACTGGGTATGTATCCAGAGAAAATGAAATCAGTATGTCAGAGAGATATCTGCACTCCACAGCAGCCAAGATATGGAACCAACCTGAGTGTTGATGAACAGATGAATGCATAAAGAAAATGTGTTATATATACACCATGGAATATTATATTGCTTCTTTTTCAACCAATTTGTTATTGGTGTATGGAAATGCAACTGAGTTTTGTATGTTGAGTTGGCATTCAGCACCTAATTCCCCAGCTTCCTTCTCCTGTTGCAGAGCCTCAGGTTGGCATACCAAAATAACATATCACCCTGAGTCCCGGAATGTCCACCTAGAGCAAAGCCCTGGACACTATGAATGACAGACAGAAGTTCATTTTGTTAAGCTGATGAGATTTGGAAGTTGTTACTTCAGCGTAATTTAATCTATCCAAATACTCCAATCTTGAGTCAGTTGCCTGCAACCATGTTTGGTTTCAAACACTGTATTAGCTGGAGCTCAGTGCCAGAACCAAGAACTGTTCTATGCCTTTTAAGCAGAAATGAGATAAATAATTTTGGTTGCTTAGAAAACACTGGTAAGGCCTGGAGATGGAAGCTTAACATGACCTCTAAGAACTGCTCCAAGAACAGTGTGTACCTGACCCCGCACATGAGTGTCTGCACCTGCCCCATCAGGAAAGCTACCTCGGAAATCCTTGCACTCAAGAACATACCTCCATCCATAGCTACGATGGCCAGAATCGGGAAGCCACAGCCACACAGTGCCCTGGACACAGGAGCCCAGGAACCACTGCACAGCGGGTGGTGCAGTGAGTGTAGCCACCCCACATCTGCCTGTAGTCACCTTGGAAGCCAGAGGCTGTGCCTGCCACCTCTAACTTTCACTGCCAGCAGAAAACACCAAATGCCCTAGGATTTGGCTGCTGCTTCTTTCTGCCTTCCAACACTTGTGTGGGTGCTTCAAAATGGCAGAACCCAATGAGCATATAGAAGTCGTATTTGCAAGGTCTTTCCACATTGTCTTAACCTCTTTGTGCTTGGCCAGTTTTGCCAATGTGCATTTATTTGTTTATTCAGTTTGATATATCCTAATCTTGTGATTCCAGAGAGTGGAATTCATTTGGCTTTCTGTAAGTTATGCTGCATTTCATTAATTGCACATTTTTTCACGTAAAATGAAATCAGGATGCAACTTAAAGTTGATAGCATGACATAAGTTAGTTGGCAGAGTTTTTTCTTTCTTAAGTAGTATATAAAATAATAATGCATCTTACAACTGTCAGCATCTTATATTTGAAGAACCCACATACCCAAGAGGGAATGTGGGCCTGCCAACACCTCAATTTCAGACTTCAGAACTGTGAGAGAATAAGTTTCCATAGTTTTAAGCCACCCAGTTTTGGTCAATGTGTTATAGCAGTTCTAGGAAACTGATGTAAGTGTGCATGAGGCAGGCAGGAAAGATGATGCCAGAGAGAGATTACTGTGAACAAAGCAACAGGATGTGAAATAACTGGTGTTTTCGAAACAATGAGACAAATTTAGGGTGGCCGGCATGAGGCAACCAAGAGTGGAATGGGTGTGGACAGAGGCTCCATCATGAGGACAGCCTGTGCCTTTCAAGGGATAGCAAAGCAGGCCTGACCCCAGCTGCTTTCACTGGGAGGGCGGGAGGCCTCAGAGGGCAACCCAAATGTTCCACCAGGTTCAAAGCCAAGCCACAGGGAGGCATCAGCCTGACAAAGAAAGGAAGGGGGAAGTAATCGGGAAGAAGCAGAAGACTGTTCCTACCAAAAGCAATACTAACAGGACAACAGGTTCATCATTGTTGGGAAATTGACCAGGAAAAAGTCACCAATGATGGGCAATGGGGCATAGTTGAAGACACAGGGGCTAAAGATTCCAGGGCTCTTCACTCAAGCTTATCTTTCTTTCTTTTCAATATTTGTGGGAGACAGACCACACCACAAAGAGACATGAATATCACAGGCATTTTAGTCTGCAGATTTAATATTTGTAGATGAAGCCATCTTTCACAACCTCGACAGGTATACCGGGCCATCGTTCTGCCAGGTCAGTCCCGCAACCACAAGGAAGAGGACCAGGAAAGAGGTTAGGGGAAGGAGGCACCCCAGCCATGCAAAGGCAGAAGATATTCTTAGACCATGGGTCCCAGGAGCTGCACAGTGAAGGGGTGACCACCAGCTGGGTTAGTAATCTGCTGTAGAAACTTGTCAGCTTCTTTCTTGAGGTTTATAGATTTCTCTCCTTAACATACACACATGCATGTATGCACATACATGCATACATATACACCCATACACACACATACACATACATATATGCACATATACACATACACTCAAACACATATACATACATGCAGACACATATACACATATACACATGCATGCATATACACACACGTACACATACACACACTGTGATGGTTAATTTTTTTTTCTTTTTTGAGATGGAGTTTTGCTCTTGTTGCCCAGGCTGGAGGGCAATGGCACGATCTCAGCTCATAACAACCTCCTCCTCCCAGAGTCAAGTGATTCTCCTGCCTCAGCCTCCCGAGTAGCTGGGATTACAGGCATGTGCCACCACGCTCGGCTAATTTTGTATTTTTAGTAGAGACAGGGTTTCTCCATGTTGGTCAGGCTGGTCTCGAACTCCCAACCTCAGGTGATCAGCCCGCCTCGGCCTCCCAAAGTGCTGGGATTACAGGCGTGAGCCACCATGCCTGGCCAGTGGTTAATTTTAAATGTCAACTTGACCAGGCTAAATGATGCCCAGATAGCTGGTAAAACGTTATTTCTGGGTATGTCTGTGAGGGTGTTTCCAGAGACATTAGTATTTTAGTTGAATTGACTGAATCAAATTTTGAATCTGTAGACTGAGTAGAAAAAAATCACCCTCACCAATGTGGGAGGGCATCATCCAATCCTTCAAGGGCCCACATAGAACAAAAAGGCAGCAGAGGGGCTGACTCGCTCTCCTCTGGGAGCAGGACGCCCACCTTCTCCAGCCCTTGGATGCTGACACTCCTGGTTCTCTGGCCTTCAGATGGACCGGGACTTACACTGGCCACTCCCCTGACCCACAGGCCTGGGTTTGGACTGCATTGCACCACCAGCTTTCCTGCATCTCCTGCTCACAGATGGCAGTTCATGGGACTTCTCAGCACCCCTAATCCTGTGAGCCAATCTCTCATGATAACTCTCTTTCTACACCTGTAGCTAGATCTCCTGTTAGTTCTGTTTCTCTGGAGAACCCTGACTAACACACACCCTAGAGTGGCATCCACCTGCCTGCGAATGCCTACCCTCTTCTGTTCCCTACAGTTCTGCAGCGTTCACAGACCACTGCTCAGAGACCACAGGCAGCACCACTGCCCAGGCACAAAACATGTCTGCTCAGTTATGGGAACTCCTTCACAAACTCATCAATCAGATGGCGATCAGTCCCTTCGCTGCACCCTTGACAAGCCAACAGTTTGTTCCTTCAAAGAGATTAAAGCAAAACAATGGGTTTATTACTTATCTGTAAGTATTTCAGCTCTCCTTGCCAAAGAGTGTTTAGAAACTAGCTTTTGTTGTTATTTCCTTCAGAATTTTTTTTAATTTTCTTTTTCTGTTTTATTTATACTTTTTACAAATCAAGAGCTGACTTTCAATAGATCACAGCGAGGGAGCTGCTCTGCCCTGTATAAAGCCCTGACCCAGAAGTAGGTTGTCTACAAATGATTTAGGTTCACCATGAACATGCACTGTGTGACAGGCCAGATTTTCGATTATTGTTAGAGAATTCTTAAACATCTGTGTCACAATCTCATGTTTATTTACAGAACTTTCTTTCGTATCTTCACCAGAATCTCCCTGAGAAGAAAGCAAGCCTCTCACTCAAGTTCTCGAGATAGATAATTTCTCTCTTCCTCAGTTAGAACTATAACAAACCGGCTCTCTTGGGCTGTTCTTGGGCTGTTTTTGGAAAACAATTTCCCCAGGGAGTCCAAATAGACTCTCCCTCTATTGTTCTGGCCATTTAATGTTTTTAACAGGGTCCCCCTTCTCTGCTAACATGAGTGATCAAGGCAAGAATAGCTTGGAAAGTGTTTAAGTTTGGGGTAACACTCCACCTGACTAACAGTTGTTTTCTTGTTACTGTTGGGGTTGTTTTTTATGTTTTTGTTTTTGTGTTTTGTTTTGTTTTGTTTTTTTTTGAGAGGGAGTCTCACTCTGTTGCCCAGGCTGGAGTGCAGTGGTACAATCTCGGCTGACTGCAAGCTCCGCCTCCCGGGTTGACGCCATTCTCCTGCCTCAGCCTCCCGAGTAGCTGGAACTACAGGCACCCGCCACCACGCCTGGCTAATTTTTTGTATTTTTAGTAGAGACGGGGTTTCACCATGTTAGCCAGGATGGTCTCGATCTCCTGACCTCGTGATCTGCCCGCCTCGGCCTCCCAAAGTGCTGGGATTACAGGCGTGAGCCACTGCACCCGGCCTGTTGCTGTTGGAGTTTTTTTGAGACAGGGTCTCAATCTGTTGCCCAGGCTGGAGTACAGTGGCATGATTATAGCTCACTGCAGCCCCAATCTCCTGGGCTCAAGCAATCCTCCCACCTCAGCCTCCTGAGTAGCTAGGAATACAGTCACGCACCACCATGCCTGGCTGATTTTTTTTTAATTTTTAGTAGAGATGAGGTCTCACGATGTTGCCCAGGCTGGCCTAAAACTCCTGAGCTCAAGTGATCCTTCTGCCTCAGCCTCCCAAAATGCTGGGATTAGAGGCATGAGCCACTATGCCTGGCCATGAATAATAGCTGTATCTCTTCAGGGTTCACAGAGTCATTAACTTTTGCATTTTGTGGGAATTTAACAAGTCCTGACAGGCATAGCAGTATGCAGGATTGTAAATTATCTGAAACAATCATAAGGTTTTGTAGATTACAGAAAATCTGACGATGTTAACCTATCATGATCTATAAAATACGCTAGCTTTTGATCACCCCGGAAGATATTTTATTTTATTCCTCATTCTATTGCTGTGCCAGTGGGTCAAAGTCTCCTTCATCCTTTGCTCCTGTCAGTCTGTGTGTGTCTTCTCCCTGCATTTTGGTAATGTTTTCTCTTCACCATTATCTTGATAGATGCCCACCTCCTCATCCTATTGCCAGTAAGTTAAATACAATCTTCTTTGCATCCATCCCACATCCAGGGCAACTGCACGAAAACAGGCAGTGAGGGAAGCAAATATGGCAAATATCAAAGCCATAACTCCTACTTACCTTGTCAATTGCTCTGAGTAACAGCGGTGTACTCCTCAGAGAAATCCTGCTCATCACTGGAAAGTGTCCTAACAAACCCTATTGGTTCAGAGCATTGTGTACCTACACCTGAGTCACTGAGAACAGGACGCTTTCTTACCAAATAAACCTATAAAGTTCAATTACACTCTTTCTGGTGCTACCAAATCCATTCACCTGAATTGTAATGGGTTCTGAGTATCATAGACAATTTCACTTAAGTTGAATGCACATTTATAGAACATTTTAAAGTGTACAAAGCACTCTCAAAAACATGAACTCATTCATTGAAAGCATGCTTTCTAGAATCCAAATCATAGCTCTTTTCTTTTAAAATCCCTGGTGTTGTCTCTACATGAGATTGCTTTTCTTATAGAAAGTTTTAGAGCAAGACAGCTAGTAAGCCTTGATGTCTGCTGCACTTGACCTTGCAGAAATCAATATTATTTTATAATATTGTCACAATTATGACCACAAATTCATCTCTATACAGAAGACCCTGAATATATGCCAAAGAAAAAATTTAATCCATAATTCAGATTGTTCTTATAGCTAGGACTTTGAAATTCTTCAGGTGGTAATAATTCCAGTAGAAATCCAAGATGTTACATCTTATGCATATAATGCCTAATCAGATCCAGTAAAGGCTACATCCTTTTGAGAACATGTTGGGCCAACAGAAACTTCAAAACTGAAATCCAGAAACTCAACTAAATTTGTCTTTAGTGTTTCAAAAGCTCATGGGCAGCTGTCATTTTATATTTGTGTGGTATTTGATGTCTTTCTTTCTCCTTTGATTTTTCTGGAATATAACAAATTTAGTAACCTAGCAATGACCACTTTCTATAAGCCATCTC
This sequence comes from Homo sapiens, assembly GCF_000001405.40. Taxonomy (NCBI): domain Eukaryota; kingdom Metazoa; phylum Chordata; class Mammalia; order Primates; family Hominidae; genus Homo; species Homo sapiens. The sequence goes on from NC_000010.11 coordinate 5,302,286, forward strand.
TACCATCCAAACAAAATTGGGATATCTTTACTTCCTGGCCAATTCCAGATATTGGCTACATTCTAATAGAATTTACCCTCATTTCCTTCAATACCCTCATCATTTAAAGGAAATTCTCTAAAATGTGTCGGTTCAAACGTCTCATAGATCCTTCAGTTTTCTTGCCAAATCACGTATGACAGTTTACTGACCCCTGATTTGGTGAAAGGGTTTGTAGTCTTTTGGGTACTCTTGCTCCCATTAGTCATTTTCAGGAGTTGGTCTGGAAATGTCTGCTGTCCCTTCAGAGACAGAGCAATATTATCTGTGAGTTTAAAAGCCAAACTGTCTCTATAATAAACATGTCACATATTAATCAAGGAGCTTCCCAGTTTTTACTTTTTCATTTATTTTTTAGAGATGGGGTCTCACTGTGTTACCCAGGCTAGACTCAAACTCTAGGGCTTAAGTCATCCTTCTACCTCAGCCTCCCATATGGCTGGGACTATAGGGGTATACCACCATGCCTAGCTGCCCTATTTTTTTTTTTTTTGAGATGGAGTCTTGTTCTGTTGCCTAGGCTGGAATGCAGTGGTGCAATCTCGGCTCACTGAAACCTCTGCCTCCCGGGTTCAAGCGATTCTCCTGCCTCAGCCTTCTGAGTAGCTGGGAGCCCTGAGCCCTTGAGGTCAAGGCTGCAGTGAGCTGAGATCATGCTACTGCACTCTAGCCTGGGAAACAGAGCAAGACTCTGTCTCACACACACACATGTGCACACACACAAAAATTAAAAGTATTGTCCAATGTTGATGTTAATTTTCTAGAACTGTAGTGTGCAGAATTCACTTTATTAAATTGATATTTCAACAAACAATGAATGTACATTTGTCCACCAGTCTTATTCTATTCATGATTCTTTAAGGATCATTGACTGTGGTTCAGCAACTTCTCCCCAGCTTAGGACCTGCAACAACTTCTATTCATTTCAGTCAACATTGAGTGGATTTCTAAACTGAACCAAAGGATAAGTACCTTTTTTGAACTTGAAGTCTGCTTTAAAATCATGTTATCTAGTTTATCTTCCAATTTCATTTCCCCTGCCCTTTTTAAAACCAAAGTATTATCTTTGATGGAGAAGATGAAAGGAAAACAGATGGGAGATTCGACTTTTATTTATCACCATTTACTTTACATGAAATTTTAAATCTCCATTTTCTCTCAACTGCACTGGTTTTTATGAAATATGTTAAAGCCATTTTTGTCTTCAAGTATGAAAGCATGAGCTCATTTAGCTTCCCTAGCAATGTGCATTTGGCCATTGCTATGTCTTGAATGTCTGTATCCCTCCAAAATTCATATGTTGAATCCTACCCTCAAGGTGATAGTACTAAGAAGTGGAGTTTTGGAGTTGATGAGGTCATGAGGATGGGGCCCTCATGAATGGGATTAGTGCCCTTAGAAAAGAGGCCTGCGGGAGCTTGTTTGCCCCTTCTGCCATGTGACAACACAGCGAGAACCAGGAAACAGACCCTCACCTGACACCAAACCTGCCTGAGCCTTGATCTTGGACTTCCCAGCCTCCAGAATGTTGAGAAATAAATTTCTGCTGTTTATAAGTCACCCTCTGCATGGCATTTTTGTTACAGAAGCCTAAACAGACTAAGACAGCCACGATCACTGTAATTTTTTTTTAAATCTTTTCCTTCACATTTGCACAATTCAAGAGCACGTGCTGACTGGGAGACCCTTCCCTTCCTTAGAGAACAGCGAGCTGCTTTTTCTGATTATGGAAGGGCTTATTTACCTGCCGTAGGATTTGCAATCAAGAACATTACCTTCCCCAGGGGCAATTCTAACCCCCCCACCACACTACTTTTAGATCAAAATAGACCCTCTCTCTTTTCACCTATTATTCACTTTCCTCTGATTAAAACAAAAAAGTAAAGGAGAACCAGTACAAGCCCACATACATGCACACACAGGCGAGCACACATACCACAAAAACACACTTATGCACCCATGCATACACACATGAACACGTACAGGCACACACACATAGGCATACAGACACTTTTAACCTCTCCCTGTACTATATCTGTGTTACATTATCCCCACCAGTTTTTTTTTTTCAAGTTTTAATGAAAGCTTGTATACAAGATTACTTTATTCCTGCATGTTCTCAATTGTTTCCTCCTTGTATTTGCCCTTTTCCTTTCCTACTTGGTGAGATTTGGCTTTCCATGCAAGGATCTTTTTGTGCTCTTTGCCCAGTTTTAGTCTACTGATAATCCCCTTGCTGGGGCGAAAGTCTACACGGACAGTTGTGTCATCAGCCTTTTCCCGCTGCACCCATTCAATGTAGATGACATATTTCTCTCTGTAAATCTGGACTACTTTGCCAATTTGCTGACCTTTATGGTGCCCTCACACAACCTGAATATCATCATCCTTTCAGACGGGCATGGATCAAACGTTGTACTTCTGTCTCAGCTCTTTGGAAAGAGGGGAAGACATAACTGTCCTGTGAATGTGGGAAGGCGCATTGAAATGCCTTTTGCAGTTACTACTTCGGTCAGAAGTCACAAAGGGATTGAACTTCATTTTGGCCACTCCCACTTCAGTGATGGCCACAAAGGGCCCCACTGGTTATTAATGTCTTTTTTCAACTCAAACATTTAAACTATATAACCTGGCATATTGTAGAAGAGAACTGTGCAGCATTAAATATTAGCATCTCACACTCGCATGAACAGAAATATTCAGATTGCAAAAATATACCAATTTATGAAGATTAATATTAACTCACTAATTTTTCAAAGACTCGCAATTATTTGATCAATTTCAGGAGAAACTATTCTATTTTTGCACTATGTTCATGCAAATTGCCTAAGACTCATCAGTTTCTGTTATTTTCAAATATAGAGTCACTGACTGATTCTATTAATATTCTGCCTCAGTATTTAAAAAAAATTCTCCTATAATAATTGGAAAAGTTAACAGAAGTGATTAGATTTGTCTTAGAGTGTCTCTTATTTTGTGAACCTTCATGTGAATCTTCAGTATCTCTTATTTTGTGAATCTTCATCATAATCTGAAGTATTCCCATTACTTTTAGGAAAAGAACCAAATGCTTAACCTGATCCTCATAAGATCGCATAATGTATATATCTCCGTATGCTCACTTTGTATTTTATCATCAATATTTGCTGCAACAAAGCAAAACCAACTTCCAAGATAAGGTCCAGCATATGTGGACTTCCCAGCAAATTTTAGTTAATGCTGCCGTCTAACGCCTGGCTCTGATATTACATCAGCTCAGGGTTTTAACCAAAAACAGACACAAATGAGGTCACCTAAGGAGACTTTAGCAACCATTTCCAAGTTCCCTTTGACTAGCTCATTCCACAGACGAGCAAACTGAAGCCCAAAAACTCAGGTCTTTCTCCCAAGATCACACAGCGAATGACCGTCAGAGAGAGTTAGAACACAGAATTGCTGTCTTCCCCCAGACAGGGCATGTGAGGTGTGACCACAGGGCTCTAGGGGTGGTGCCTCACCTGTTAGGCTTTCTGAAATTCACAAACTGCAAAGCATGGCACTGCCCCTAGGAATCTGTTACAGAAAACAAGGATTCTGACAGCTCAATTAAGAAGCAACCGGAATTCATGCAGCCGGGGTCCTTGTGAGAAACAATTTGCATATTATACCAGAAAAGATGGAGAGGTAGCAGAGACCAGGTGCTGCTCGCTTTTGTGTACTGAACTCAGGATTTCTAACTTAATCCTGACGATGACCAGCTATAGAAGGCCTCTAAGCAAATTGAAGAAGGTCACTCCGGCTCAAGGGTATAGGGCGGGTCTGGAGACAGGAAGACCAGCAAAGTTTTATTTTGGTAGTCCAGGGTACCGACGATGAGGACTGCAGGACCTCTACTCTTCTAGTTCACAGAGTGTATTAGTCCGTTTTCACGCTGCTGATAAAACAAACATACCAGAGACTGGGCAACTGACAAAAGAAAGAGGTTTAATTGGACTTACAGTTTCACCAGGCTGGGGAGGCCTCACAATCATGGCTGAAGGCAAGGACGAGCAAGTCACATCTGTGGATGGTGGCAAAGAGAAAGAGCTTCTGCAGGGAAACTCCCGCTTATAATACCATAAGATCTCATGAGACTTATTCACTATCAGGAGAACAGCACAGGAAAGACCCACCCCCATGATTCAATTACCTCCCACCAGGTCCCTCCCACAAGACGTGGGAATTCAAGATGAGATTTGGGTGGGGACACAGCCAAACCATATCAGAGAGCTAATGGGAAGATGGTATTATCAGGCTGTCTAGAGGACACAGGAGAAGGAGAAAGGGTTGTGGGTCCAGAGGAACAATCACTGTAACTGTGGACATGCTGAGCTCGAAGGTCGTTTACACAAATGTGAACCTGACAGAGCCAATCCTTCAAGATGGATCCCAAGCAGCTAACCAGGCGCAAATTTTAAATACAGCCAAGTAGCCATTTGTTGACTGGAGGTCACACAAGCACCGTCAGTTCCCCAAAACCCACACCTCTATTTAACTTTGGAACTTTCAGAGCTCACTTGAACAAACCAATCAGAGCTTACCTGAATCAATCAATTAGAGTTCACCTAAACCAACAAAGGAGAGCTCATCGGAACCAACCAATCAGGGTTCAGCTGTATCAACCAATCAGTGTTCAGCTGTGTTGACCAATCAGTTTGAAGTTTTCATTTGCATACTTGAACCTGATTGGGCAGAAACTTTTGCTATAAAACCTAGCCCCAGCTGCTTGGGAAGCTGAGGCAGGAGAATCACTTCAACCCAGGAGGTGGAGGTTGTAGTGAGATGAGATTGTGCCACTGCACTCTAGCTTGGGTGACAGCAAGACTCCATCCCTCAAATAAAAAATAAAAATAAAATAAAATTTAAGAAAACACCAAACCCTCCCTTTGTTCCCTGGAACACATCTTTGTTTACACCGGAGGCTGCATCTCCCTCGTTTGTCAGCTGTTTGCTGGAATAAAGTCTCTTTCCTCCAATTTCCTTCCCAGAGAACTTTTCCTTACAACCTTAGAAGACAGCCAAATGGAAATACTTAGTAGGTGTTGGAATATTAGGCTGAAGCTCAGGAGCAGGGGGCAGATTTCAGTTACAGATTTTGCACCAAGATACATTTAATGTAATTTTGAAAATTGTCGTAGTCATTATGTAATGAATTATGTAATAAAATTAAATAAGTTAAATAACTGAATAAATTAAATAAAAATATGTAATAAAAGTATGCAATATAATAATTATGTAATGTAATATATAATTTTAAAATCCTCATTGTTACACCGAGATAAGTCTGCCTTGGAGGCAGGTGGAGTTGCCCAGGAAGACTGTAGAATGAGAGGCCAGGAAGACAACTGGAGAACCCACATGTTGGCGTGGGCAGAGTCCACACAGGAAATGAAGGAAAGGCAGATCCATTAGAACGATATTGATAGGATCTCACATCGCAGAAGGGGGGAGCAGTTATGAGAAAAATATGCTCAACACTGACAAATGCTGGGGGAAAAAACTATAACTCCACACTGCCAACTGAGGAAACAGCAAGAAGCTGTTGGTTAAAGCCACCAAAGCTCCCGGAACATTACAAGTTGCCCAACGAAGAAGGGGCCAGTATGAAGAAAGGGAGAAGGAACACAGGGACCCCTGAGGCTGCATCCCAAAAGAAGATGACCATCCTAGAGGAGAAGGAGCTGTGAAATCCTCATTGTCACCGCAGCTTACTTTGCAGAGGGCACAGTAATTTTTCAACAAGTGAGGTGGGAGGTTCGAGAGGTCTAAGTGGGTATTCAAATCAATAGTACAATCTAAATTATAACCTGACTCTGATTTGGGAGTGTGGTGACTAATGTATTTCGGGAAGAAGATCATTGCTGCATGTGCCAAATGACAAACAGGTGACACAAGTTAGCAAAGTTTTTTGTTTTGTTTTTATTAAAGAATACTTAGTGCTAATGAGGATATGGTGAAATAACTGTCTACTCAAGAATGAAAATTAATATTAACCTTTTGTACAACAATGTTGCAATATATATCAACATGTTTACATCATTTGATATAGTAATTCCAATTCTAAGATTTTTAATTAAGTAAATAATTTATAATATGGAGTAAGCCTTATGTTTATCTCAGGGTTATTTATGATAGGAAAAAACTAAACTCAAACTAAATTTTTCATGACAGAGGAATTATTGAGTAAATTATGGTACACATTTCAAGTGGAAAATCAGGCAAATGTTACAAATAATAACTGAAAGTTTTTAATAACTTGGAGAAATAGTAATTATATAACATTAAGCAGGAGAAATAAGATATAAAATTTTATATGCATTATTACATCAGTTCTGCTTTTTTAAGTCCATATAAAAAATTCACAAGATGCCAAGTATAATGTTCTCTGCAAAGAAGAATTGAGGTGATATATTTCCTTCTCTTTCAAATTTTCCTTACTCATCCTGCAATATTTTTATAATCAGAAAAGGTCATCCGGGCATTCAGGGATGAGAGCTGTTAGAAGGATTCCAGGAGTCTCACAGGCTAAAGCAGGTGAGGAGGGCTTCATGAAAGTAGTGGGACTTGAATTAGAATCTGACGGGAAAAAAAAAATTATACACTGAAGAGGAGTGAACGTTCCTGGCAGGCAGAATGATGACAACACGAACAAGATGGGGTGGTGAGTTAGGTGCAAAGAGTTGACCAGTTGGCTGGAGAGAAAGGAGACTTTGTGTATTGGAATATTGGAATTTAAGAGTAATCAGATGAATATAATATTGATGGAATGGAAGAATAAAGCTATTGAATAGTTTTGATCAACAAAAAAGACTCATGTGTTTTCTTCTAGCTTTAATTTTCATTAAACCCTCAAAACAATGGTTGGCATAGGAAGTGTTTGACAAACATTTGTGGGATGAATGAATGAGGAAACAAAGTCCAGGGTAGAAAACATTCTGTAAGTGCCGTTTAAATGCCTTTATTTTCTTCTGCAATCAAGTGTCTCTCCAAGATGATAGAGTAAGGTAGCCTCTCCACCTTTCAGCTCTGCTAATTTGCAAGTCAGACATATTGAGCTTCTGAAAATTTCACAGACCCACTCTCCCTTGGAAAAAATGATAGAGATAAAGTAAATGAAATAATTACTTCTCTACTATTCACCAGGGTCGTATATTACTCAGCTGAGGAAAATGATGATGTGTGCCATTTACTAGTTTAAAAAAAAAAAAAACACTAAACAAAAACTCTATGTAAAATTTCAAATTAAAAGCTTTTCCTAAGCATGGGGTTTATCTATTTCACAATGAAGACTGCATATTTTTCATCTTCCTTTCTAAATAGCTATTGATTACATTCAATTAATTCAGAATCTGATATAAAAAGATTTTCCTAAGACCTAACTCTCAAAAGAGCTAGAAAATGATGTCCAGGTGTTTGAAGCCAAGTCTCACACCAAAGCCCATGGGCTCCACCATCAGTCATCCTGCCTGCTGCCTCTCATATCTCCATCTCCAGCTGGCTGGTGCTGTGAGTTGTTCCATCGGCCCTTACCTCCACTCCACCCTTGGATTTACATTGTCTTGAGTTCTTGTATCTTACAAAATGTATAAGCTGTCAGTCAGCTAACCTGAAAGTCCAACTGTAATTCATGACCAACAGAGAGAAGAGGATAAGCATGCTCCCACCCAAAGCCCTTTTTCTACACAAGCAGCCAAGCACTGCTCTGTCCTCAGACCTCATCTGCCTGAGCTTTCATACATTGTTGTTCACCATCCCTCTTTTTAAAAATTCACCACTTGGCTTCTTCAAGTATTTCTTAAAACGTGATTCTTGGTCCTCTTCCTTCCTTCTTTACTCTCTTATATGTGTACGTCATGCAATGCTGCACATTTAATCCTATCAGGAAGGGTGATGAGGCATAAAGAGGACAGATTTGGAATCAAGCAAACATAGGTTTTCTGTGTGTGTTGGTTCGGTTTGTGTGTTTTTTTAGAGACAGGATCTCACTGGGTCACCCAGGCTACAATGCAGTGGTACAGTCCTTGCTCACTGCCCCCTTAACTTCCTGGGCTCAAGTGATCCACCACAGCCTCCCGAGTAGCTGAGACTATGGGTGTGTGCCATCACACCTGTCTAATTTTTTAATTATTTTTGTAGAGACTGGGTCTCACTGTGTTGCCCAGGCTAATAGCGAACTCCTATTGTCAAGGGATCCTCCCACCTTGGCATCCCAAAGTTCTGGGATTACAAGCATGAGCAACCATGCCCAGCCAAGCATATGTAGGTTTGAATATCAGTTCCACTACTTACTATTCTCTGTTGAATTACCTAATCTATATGAGCCAAACAATATTTTCCTTACTGAGAGGTTGTGGAGATTACATGAGGCCATAGTCAGGCTTACCGCATGGTACATGCTCAATACATGTGAGTTATCCTTATAATCATTATTAGGTGTGTGTTAACATGGGGATATTTGCTGATAATTAATTAATAGTAAGACTAAGCTTGACTGATGCTGGAGAACCAGGGTTCAGGAATTTGAGAATGATTGCCTTTGGGACACACACTTTTGGAAGAGGCCTTCCACCTGACCCTCCACGTCACTGCATTTTCTTGCCAGCTATGCCCAGAATGCATGGTCCTGACTGCATCTTGCCTGGGCTGTGTCTCAGGGTTGTGCTTATAGCAAGCAGCCTTCAGGGAGGAAGTAATGTCTTTCCCTAGGCAAAGGGCAGGCTTCCCTCCACTTGCTCTAAAGCCATGAACCCTCCAAGCTCATTGTTCCCAACCCACTACATGTGGGAATCTGTGCAGGTGCCTAGCATGTCAGTGGTGCTGACAGGTCAAGTAACACAAGAAGGGAGAGTGGATTGTTTGGTTTGACAAAATGAATGTCGCTGGTGTCCCTGAGAAGAATCAAGTTTGCTGGTGTCCTTGAGAGAAAAAGCACCATGGGAGTGAGTTCAAAAGAGCATGTTAGAGGCCGGGCATGGTGGCTCAAGCCTGTAATCCCAGCACTTTGGGAGGCTGAGGCGGGCAGATCACGAGGTCAGGAGATCAAGACCATCCTGGCTAACACGGTGAAACCCCGTCTCTACTAAAAATACAAAAAAGTAGCTGGGTATGGTGATGGGCGCCTGTAGTCCCAGCTACTCAGGAGGCTGAGGCAGGAGAATGGTGTGAACCTGGGAGGCAGAGCTTGCAGTGAGCCAAGATCGCACCACTGCACTCCAGCCTAGACCTGGGCAACAGAGTGAGACTCCGTCTCAAAAAAAAAAAAAAAAGCATGTTGGAAAAGAGGGTTAAGTTGTTGAATAGAAACTTTTTAAGGCACTTTTTGCCAGAAGAGAAATGAGAAAATGAGAAATTCTCATGCTCCCTCTAAGAAAACTTACTCTTAACGGTTATAAAGGATTGTGTGATTCATAAGGAACTACTTATGAATACTATCTTATGAATACTACTGATGAATACTACTTATGAATACTTAAAGGATTCATAAGGAACTACTTATGAATACTTAAAGGATTCATAAGGAACTACTTATGAATACTATCTTAGCATGTTAACCTTCCCATAAAGTATTTATCATTTACAGGAAAAAAAAAATGTTTTCAACCAAAGCTGTCACCCTTTCCTGTTTGGGCCACAAGCCAGCCTGAGACAGAGGCTGGAGGCTGGAAAGCTCTGCCTGTCCCCCCGCCACACTGCAGACACATGGCATTCTGGTGACCAGGCTGCATTTGACAAGCCACAGGTTGAAGCTCTGTAGCCCTCTTGGTTTTATTGCCCCTTAAAGGAGATTTTAAATACATCACAAAGACTTAGGAGGGAGGATGCTGTCTTAGTCCATTTTCTGTTGTTATAACAGAATACCTGAGACCAGGTAATTTATAAAGAAAAGAAATGTATTTCTTATGGTTCTGGAGGCTGGGAAGTCCAAGGTTGAGGGACTGCATCTTGTGAGGGCCTTCATGCTGTGTGATAACATGGTGGAGGGCATCAGCAAATGTGCCAGCTCAGGTCCCTCTTCCTCCTCTTTTAAAGCCACCAGGCCCATCATGGGAGCCCCACCCTCTCAACCTTATCTAATCCTATTTACCTCCCAAAGGTGCCACCTTTAAATACCATCAACATATGAATTTGGGGATTAAGTTTCCAACACATGAAATCTGGGGGCTACATTCAAACCATAGCAGATGCTAATTCAGACACCAAGAAGAGTCACTAAAACAGCAACAATTGACTCTTGACTTTGAAGTGTTGTTAGATGATGTCAAGTACCCTATTGCCCACAATAGCACAAGAGAGTATAATATTTATGAGCCCATATTCTGACGCTTGCTGGAATAACAGCACCTCTGCTGATTAGGGGAAATCATACCTACAGTAAGCGTATTTCAAGAGCTGGCACCCATTGCAAACCAGTCATCCACCTCTTCCCTGAAAGGGACTAGGCATTGAAGTTTTTCTTATGCCAAGAAAGTACTTCTTTTACTCCACATGCCGCCAGTGTTCTCTGTCAAGAGTGAGAAGTTGAGATAGGAGGAAATAACAAGGAGACTTTCTAGAACCATCCAACTGAAAGGAGCCCTAGAGGCCACCCAGACAAGTGCCCAGAGGAGCTGGGTGATTCTCCCAAGCTCCCCCAGAAAGTCAGTGGCAGATCTGAGGTTACAACCAGGTGACCCAGTGTTCTTTGCAGA